>NC_000006.12:68670988-68974018 GCF_000001405.40 Homo sapiens
AATTCCTAAGTATTTAATTTGATGTGTGGTTATTGTAAATGGGATTACTTTTTAAATTTATTTTTCAGATTGTTCACTGTCGGTATGTAAAAATGCTACTAAATTTTGTATGTTGATGTTGTATCCTGCATCTTTACTGAATTTTTATCAGTTCTAATTGTTTTCTGGGGGAATCTAGGTTTTCCTAAATATAAGATTATATCATCTGTAAACATGGATAATTTGACTTCTCCCTTTCCAATTTGGATGTCCTGTGTTTCTTTCTCTTGTCGGATTGCTCTAGGTAGGACTTCTAATACTATGTTGAATAACAGTGGTGACAGTGGGAAACCTTGTTGTTTTCCAAGTCTTAGGGGAAAGGCTTTCAGTTTTTCCCCATTCAATATGATACTAGCTGTGGGTCTGTCATATATCACCTTTACTGTGTTAAGGCATATTCCTTCTATCTCAAGTTTTCTGAGGGTTTTTATCATGAAGGGATTTCGAACTTTATCAAATGCTTCTTTCAGCATCAATTAAAATGATCATATGGCTTTTATCTTTTATTTTCTTGTTATGATGTATCATATTGAGTGATTTGCATATGTTGAATCATCTTTCTGTCCCAGGAATAAATCCCACTTAGTCATGATGAATGCTCTTTTTAATGTATTGTTGAATTTGATTTGCTAAGATTTTGTTGAGGATTTTTCCATCAATAGTCATCAGAGATATTGGCCTGTAGGTTTTTGTTTTGTTTTGTTTTGATGCGTCTTTGTCTGATTTTGGCATTAGGGTAATACTGGCCACATAGAATAAGTTTGAAAGTATTTCCTCCTCCTCTCTTGTTCAGAATAGTTTGAGTAGGATTGGTATTAGGTCTTCTTTAAGTATTTGGTAGAATTCAGAAGTAAAGCCATGAGTCCCAGGATTTTCTTTACTGGGAGATTTTTAATAATTGCTTCGATCTTGTTGTTTATTATTGGTCTGTTCAGGTATTGGATTTCTTTCTTGTTCAATCTTGGTAGGTTGTATGCATCTAGGAATTTGCCATTTATTCTAAATTTCCCAGTTTATAGTCATTTAGTTGCTCATAGTAGTCACTAATGATCTTTTGAATTTCTGCAGTATCAATTATAATGTCTTTTTTCATCTCTGATTTTATTTATTTGAATCCTCTCTCTTTTTTTTTCTTAGTCTGGCTAAAAGTTTGTAAATTTGTTTAACTTTCCAAAAATCCAACTTTATGTTTGCTTGATCTTTTGTATTACTTTCTTCATTTCAATTCCATTTGTTTCTGATCTGATCTTTATTATTTCTTTTCTTCTACTAATTTTTGGTTTGATTTGCTCTTACTTTTCTGATTCTTTTTTTAATGCATCACTAACCGGTTTATTTGATGTTTTTCTTCTTTTTTGATGCATGCACTTGTAGCTGTAACTTTCCCTCTGAGTACTGCTTTTGCTGTATCTCATTGGTTTTTATATGTTATGTTTCCACTAACAGTTGTTTCAAGAAATTTTTACTGAGAAAATATTTAATAAAATTTAACTTAATGAATGGATAAGGCCCTTTTATATTCCAAGAAATATCTTCATATTTACCTTTGGTAGCAAAGATCACAGGGCTGCCTGGTATACAGGAGTGCGCAATATCTGGGTTGAGCTTACCTTGAAATGAGATTACTGTCTACTGCAGAGTTTGATAGTTAAGATTATGTGTCAAGTTGGCTAGTACATGGTACCCAGGTTTTGGTCAAACACTAGTCTAGATGTTGCTGGGAAGGTATTTTTTTAAATGTAATTAATATTTAAGTTAGTAGACTTTCATTAAAGCAGATTACTCTCCATAATATGGGTAGGCATCATCCAGTCAGTTGAAGCCTTCTGAGAAAAGACTAAGGTCTCCTCGCAAAAAAGTACTTCTGCTTCCAGATTGTCTTTGAACTGGAGCTGCAATATCAACTCTTCCCTGCATCTTCAGACCACAGGAATGCCCTGCAGATTTTACACTTGCTAGCCTCCACAATTATGTGAGCCAAAATTCCTTAAACTGAATCTCTCTCTCTCTCTCTCTCAGTAGGTGTGTGTGTATACGTATGTGTTTGTTTGCATCTGTCTGTGTGTATGTTTGTGTATGTTAGGTGCAATAATAATTAAATGACAAGAACGATTAAAGTCACCTTCAAGGGTTCGAATGGGTATAAAAATAACTGAAAATAAGTAGAGATTCTTATCCTTGGTAGATAAGTTCCCTCATTTCCCTTTCTGACTAATAGACAGCATAGAAGGAAGAGAGGGAAGTAACCTACCAAGTTCAAGAATCTTTATTTACTACTAGTTATTTACTTCTCATACAAACCCTGGGAAGTAAGTTTAATTACTATTGCCATTTAACAGGAGAAAAACTCACTCCCAGAAAAGATAATATGTACAGCAGTGTGTGGTATGAAGCAATGCTGAAAACTCAGTGTTATCAGTCTCCATAACCTCTGTTATTCTCAGATTATCTTGCTACCTGCTGTTTGTGAGAGGAATTGTTTGACTATCCTTGTATTAGCTAGAAAGAGAGAGCAGTGTGTTCCTGAAATAAAAGAGACTCTGGAAACTAGAAGAGGGCAAAAGATAAAACCTTAACATGTTATTGGAAACCTACATAATTGTCACTGGGGTTTTACTAGCAATCTTTATCCTGCTACTTCCCTTAATTTCAGAGATGATAAAACAATTTCCCTGGCTTTTTTTTCAGGGCTTTTTTCCAGACCCTTATTTTTTGTTACCCATTAGTGAACTTGGGAAGGTTTTTATTTCTAAATTTAGTGCCTAATTCTCCTGAAGCAGGTTTCACATTTGGATATTTCATTAAGATTGTCCTGGGACAAATCTTTGTCCTTCAAATGCAGAGGGAATAGGGACTATTTACTTCCTATTCTGCTATCTCTATGTGCCTTTGAGTGAGAACAATTACTGGAAGAGTTGCCAAAATTATAGTAAATTTAAGGAAATTTAAAATAATTAGATTTCTTATACTATAAAATAAGGGACAGCCTTCAAAGTCCAAAGCCAAAGTCATTTCTAAAGATCTCTATTATTTAGAAGTTCCCTGGAAAGCATCTCACACCTATTTTTAGAATCATAGGATATGATGACCTTAAGACACTATACTAGAGGCAATTTATCTGAGGCTGTCTGAGTGGTTGGCATCTTATACAGTTAGAGAGAGAAAGGATTTTCTGATGTTAATAGTGTGCTTTCTTTGATTGATTTTTGTTTGGAATGCTGTCAAAATATTTTAGGTAATAACATGAATTAGTTGCAACGTAACATGATTTTAAAAGCTAAAAAAATTTTAGACGGCATGAAACATTGTAAGACAATAGAAGGGAATTTTTTTGCCACAAATAGTGATAAAAATATTATACATTAAAAATGCAACCACTTTTACACAAACATGCATAAATAAATGTACTAGATGTCACAGGGGAAATTCAAATGAAAATCTTATTTTTCTATTTTTGAGATGTTTACCACTTATTAGGCGTGACAAAGCAAATACAAAGGAAATGTTAGAAGAACTAGAATTTAATCACAGCTTGAAAGAGCTATAAATACGGTACTACTCTTGGTTTATCATGCAAAGGGAAAATCGATTTCAAGTCCAGGTGACCTATGAGCTATACCTTGAAGGACATTTTGTATTTCAACATGTTTAGATGTGCTGAAACTCTTCCAGAAAGAGGTGCAGTCTATAGAGATGCAAAGAACAAAAGGAAGAAGAGAACGGCATTCATTTGAAGCCAACACAAAAGCAGTAGCTGAAATAATTTTTCCAGAGTGCCACAGCAGTTAAGTAAAAGAGGCAAAATTTAATTCAAAATGTTTCTAGTTCCAAATCGTATGTTTTTCTAAAACTGTATTGGGAGAGCAGAGGAACATACTCAGCGTTCATAGGTTCTACCTGGAGTATAGGGTGTGGATCAGTGTAAAATATAAGATAGGGAAGTTAAAGATTATGTTTTGGACCCTGGTTCAGGGGATGTCCTTACTGTGTCTAACTGATGTGTTTCAGGCTCTTCCTTCAATATGTATTGCGAATAGTGAGATTTATTACACAGTCCTAACATTGATGCAGTTTAGTTGCTTGTGGATGGTGTTGTCAGGAAAAAAGGTAATATTTTCTTCTGAACTCATGGTTAGAAAGGGCAGGAGAAGCTGGAAGTAAGATATCCTCCATCCTCCTTAGACATATTTACATCACCTCTTCCAGGTTTGCATATTGCTTACAATCAATACAGAGAAGAGAAAACAAAGGAAATATGTGATAAGTTGATAAATTACTGCTACAAAATTTAAATTCTGGCCCTAAAGCAATAACAAAGTAGAACATAGTGAAACAAGTACACAAAAGATTTAAAACTGGGGATACAGAAGTTCCAAAGCAAGGAGAAAAAAGGAAATTATTATAACTGGACTTAAAATTCAAAAAAATGGTATTTAGAACTAAGAAATTAATTTGAGTGAAATTAATGTTAGAATAAAAATAAAATTGAAATCAACATGAGGGAAGAGTCTAAAGCATGCATATATGATTGAAAGAGCAAGACAACTCACAGGAAAAGCTAAAAATCAAGTAGAAGCAAGATTTTGACTGGAAAGAAGCAGCACGAGTGAATGGATGGAAATGAAAAAAAGATCTACAGAGATATCCACTGCAAGAGGAGTTTTCATCGCCAGGGCACCAGCTTCTCCAGTTACCTTCCCCTGTAAGTGGGACCACAGGCCTTCCTGTGGAAGAGCCCTCAGTGACTAAGCAGCATACTCTGCTTTTCTCATTTCTCCCTAGTGGCGAAGCTTCAGACAGGGTCTTCAGTCATTCTCTTATTTGGAAACTTCTCCCAATCATCAAAACCCCAAATGAGTAGAAATTGAAGAATCCGCTTTTTATGAAACCACTGCTACTCTAATCTTTTTATTCTTGTATTTTTCTAATTACATATATCACTATTTACCTCCATTTTGTCTTTCACTTACAATACTATTTGCTTTTCTTTGCCTCATTTTAACATTTGGATAAAAAATTATTTGTATGTATTTACACAAAGTGCTTCAACTTAAATAGTACTGTTCTTTAAAAGAGAGAATGAGGCCTGGCGTGGTGGCTCACGCTTGTAATCCCAGCACTTTGGGAGGCTGAGACGGGCGGATCACGAGGTCAGGAGATGGAGACCATCCTGGCTAACATCACGAAACCCCGTCTCCACTAAAAGTACAAAATATTAGCTGGGCGTGGTGGCGCGTGCCTGTAATCCCGCTACTCAGGAGGCTAAGGCGAGATAATGGCTTGAACCGGGGAGTGGGAGGTTGCAGTGAGCCCAGCTCGCACCACTGCACTCCAGCCTGGCGACAGAGAGAGACTCTGTCTCAAAAAAAAAAAAAAAAAAAAAAGAAAAGGAGAGAGAGAGAATGAAGTTGACTTCAAAAATTTGGTTGGTTGTTTCTTAAACGAAAGCCTGCCATTTTTGTGGATGGTATTATCGTTCCAGAATGCTAATGCAATAACGACATTGCAATGAAGCTAATTCATAGCCAGAGAACTGCTGTTTAAGCGACTATGTTGTGAATCTCTTTCAAACTACATTTTTATGCACGTTGTTTTTGTTTCCTAATATTTCTATGGTCTTGCATTTCCAGCTAGACTGTGTAATCCCTTAGGACAGGGACAGTATATTTTATGTCCTTCATAGCTCTTTGTAGAGTGCTAAGTAAAATGACTTTTTAATGAATGTGTGGTGAATTAATGATACAGTTCTTATGTGCATATAACAGGACTCATGTGGCACCTCTAAGTTACCAAGGGTTTCAAGTTAACCTGCAGTTAAACGAAAGTGACTAGCTTCTTGAAAAAAATAAGCTTTTTCTAAATTCTAATAGTCCCTAATCAAATTTGCAAAACAGACAAGCAAAAAATAAAAAAACAAAAAATGAATAAAACACAGTTACTCAGGAGCCAGCCATTTCAGAATATTGTTTATTCAATTGCATTTTGCTGATTTATTCCAGAAATCTTAAAGAATTCCTGTGTAGTGCACATCTTTTCATTTTGACAGAGATATACATAAAGAGTAAGGATTCCATACATTACTATTTGGCAAGAATACGTACTATATTGGCGAGGTTCCGTTGTTTATTTTATTCAGATATTTGTATTTCTTAAAAGGCTTACATGGAATACTGTGTGTATTATGTAAAACTGAAAGTTCATTCTTCATGCTGCATATGGTTTTCTTTTCCTAACTAGTAAAAGATGTACTGTCCTCAGTGCATTTATACTGGCTCTGGTTCAATGCAAATCTTTGATAACTTAGTTTTCTTAAGAGTTATTTTAAGTTGTTTACTTCTTGTCACTGCAGACTAGCTTAGAATCTGCTTCTTGGGATCTCACTACTTTGCCATTATACAGTCTTTCTTTCCCCCAACTTGAATGTTTCAATGGATCATTCAGAATTTATTTATAAATAGTATCATAGGAATTTTTTTCTTTTTTTTCTTTTTTTCTTTTTTTTTTTTTTTTTGACAGGTCTCACTCTGTTGTTCAAGCTGGAATGCAGTGGCATGATTTCAGCTCACTGCAACCTCTGCCTCCTAGGTTCAAGGGATTCTTTCACCTCTGCCTCCTGAGTAGCTGGGACGACAGACGCGCACCAACACACTGGGCGAATTTTTGTAGTTTTTGGCAGAGAAGGAGTTTCACCATGTTGGTCAGGCTGGTCTCAAACTCCTGATCTCATGATCCAACACAGGGCTAATTTTTGTAATTTTTCATAGAGAGGGAGTTTCGCCATTTTGGCCAGGCTGGTCTTGAACTTCTGACCTCAAGTGATCTACCGGCAAAAGTGAGGAATTTTTAAAGGACTTTCAAGTTATGATCAAGTGGGTGCTACATGAAAAAGACATCCAAATTTTCTTCATTTACTTTATTCATGAATTTTTTTTTAATTTGATGAGATATCACCCTGTAAAAATAACCATCTTGATAATCCATTCATTAATAAAACCTTAGAAACTGCCACATTTCTTTAGATTATGTTAAGTCAAAAGACAGGCCAAAGTATCTGTGCTCTCTAATGATCTTGGTCTTTATTTTCTTCACCAATTTAAAATACACTTTCAGGGCCTGGGTACTGTGGCTCATGCTTGTAATCCCAGCTCTTTGGGAGGCCAAGGAGAGACTCTGTCTCAAATAAATAAATGAATGAATAAATAAAGCACTAGGCCAGCGTTTCCATAAGACAACATATGCAGCCTTATCCATCAGTATTAATGAATCCATCCATTTAAAACCTCAGTCTATACTGACCACAGTGGCTTTGATAAAAACAGGAAGGTCAACATTATTTTCAAGTGAGAAAAAATAAACAACAATCAACCTGAGGAGGCATAGCCTTCTCCATTTATCACAAGTCCCACCCTTCCCGGAAAGTATGATGCAGAGACCTTGTCCACCCCTTCAGCCCCTATAAACTGTTGAGCTTGTGATCCTTGCTTTAGAACATATAAAAGACAGGTGGATAGAATGAAAAACTGTGAGGGGTAATAGCTGACTTCATTCAGAATATGGGTGTAATCAAAGGAAGGTTGGATGAAGTAAATGATCTGAAATTGAGGAATATATCCAGGTTTAGATCATTTAAAGAATTCCTGCCTTTGGATCTAACAGCCAGTTTTGCATCTATTTGTGTGTGTGTGTGTGTGAATTGCTCATATTCATGTAATTTCACTTTGATTTTTGTTACGTAAGATTGATCGTATTGTTATAAAAATAATAACACTGTATTGATTCCAGGATTCAGTGAAACTCTTGAATTTAATAATTAAAATAATAATGCTAATAGTAGTAATAACAATATCAGAGAAACATTATAATGATAATAAAACATTTCAAAAAGGATATTACTTCAAGTTGTCCAATGACTTACCTGACATGTTTTGAAGTTATGCACACAAATACAAATGGTGGCTTTTTGTAATTCAATTTAAAAAATTTCTTATCCTATTTTACTGAGTTATTCTGATTTTTACATTCTATAAATTATTTCTCTTTCAGATATCTATCCTAGAATTCTCTAATTTCTAAATTATATAGGAGTCATTTGCATAAAATTCAATATTTGTTAGATATAAAAATATTCAAGTCTAGACAAAAAAAATCAAAATCAATTGTGCACTAGTTTGGGTAATGTTTGCTGCTGTAATAAACCCCAAACTGAACACAATAGAACTTTATTTCTTGCTCATGTAACAGTTCAGTGAACGTGCTCCTGCTTTGTGGGTGGCTTTTCTTCATTGGGTGGTGCAAGGATTCAGATTTCTTCCTTGTGGATCTGCACCCTTAAGGGACATAGGGTCTCTTGAATTCAAGTAGAGAAAGGGGAACGCTTGCACAGAAGGCACACTGGCTCATTTTGGAATGGAAGAGCCACTTCTGCTCACAATTTCATTGGCAAAAGTAGTCACATGGCCACACCTAGACACAAAGAGTATTGGTAAATAAAGTCCCTGGCTAGGTAGCTGCTTTTCAGGAAAAAAAAAATACATGAAAGGAGAAGCACAAATTTTGGTGGGCAACGTGCCATCCACCACAGGCAGTCTTATCTGCCAGCATTAATGAATCATTCCATTTGAAATCTCAGTCTATATTGAGGTTTAGACTGAGGTGGCTTAGGAAAAATAAGTGGCTCTGATAAGCAGGGCCATCTTTTTTTTTAATAGAGAAACAAGTAAACCAAAATACACTTTAGTGATATGTTCAATAGAAAAGCATCATTTAAAAATTAATGTAGTATATTTTTCCTATAGAGAAATAATTGAGAACAGTAAACACTTAAAAAATAGTCAAATAACAAAAAATGCTTTTCATAGGTTGCTATGGTCTGAATATAACCTCTTAAAATTCACATGTTGAAGTCCTAATCCCAACGGAAGGTATTAGGAGGTAGTGCCTTCAGGAAGTGATTAGGTGATGACAGTGGGATTAGCGCCCTTACAAAAGTGGACTGAGAGAGACTCCCTGTCCCTTTCACTATGTGAGGACATAGTGAGAAGGTGTTGTCTATGAACCAGAAAGTTGGTTCTTGCCAAAGAAAGGATCTACCTCGAAGTTAGATTTCTAGCCTCCAGAACTGTGAGAAATAAATTTCTGTCATGAATAAACAACCCAGTGTGTGATATTTGTTATGGTAGCCTTAACGGACTAAGACACAAGTATATTGTTGTCAGGTAAGTGTAGGAGGAGGAAAGAAGAATGCAACTAGAAGGAAAAAAAAACCAATACATTAAGGAACAGAAAAAAAAAGAAGAAAGCAGAAAAGATAGAGGCAGTAAAAATAGATCCGTACAAAGTAAGCAGCAGGGCAAGAGAGAGGAGAAAGAGACCAGTAGTGCACAGGGTAGAGAGAGGCAGGTTTTGAAGTGTGTGCTGAAAGGTAGGCCCAGCTATGCACTTTGGTAACGGCCTTTAGAGCATTTTGGACTCTTCATCTATTTGAACTGTGGTAGAGCTGGTTAACCTTGCTGAGAGCTCTTCAACCCCTTTAATCCCAAAGTCTTTGAGGCTCCACTCTGAATGGAATAACTAGAACAACCCAACAGGATAGAATTTAATTTCTAAACCTGGCTATCAGCAACCAGAAGAGCTACATGATATCAGTGGCAATTGGTCTTATAGTTAGTTCATTCTTCCTTTGAGGCATACATTCAGATAAGTAGGTAAATCATACACATGTATATAAAATAGGTAAATAATATATAAGTATTAAGATCTCTATTGGACTTGGAAATTAGATTAGTTTTAGAGCAGCATTAAACAAATACTCAAAAATCTGTCATAAATGTACTTAACTAACTAGCTTTTAAAGAAAAAACTGGATTGTGTGCCTCCATGTCTTAGTCTATTTTGTGTTGTTATAAAGGAATACTGGAGGTTGAGTAATTTATAAAGAAAATAAATTTATTTGGCTCACAGTCTGCAAGCTGTACCAGAAGCATGATATAAGTATCTCTTTTTGGTAAGGGCCTCAAGAAGCTTTCATCATGGAGGAAGGCTAAGGGGAATAGGCAGAAAGAAGAGGGCAAAGGAGAGTGAGCAAAGAGGTGTGTCACCTTTTTGAATAACCAGCTCTAACTAATAGAGCTAGAATGCACTCATTATGGTGGAGAGGACACCAAGCCATTCATGAAAAACTTCCCTTACAACCCAAATACCTCCCACTAGACTGCACCTTCAACATCATTGGGCATCAAATTTCAAAATAGGTTTTTGAGGGGACAAATATCCAAACTATATCATGCCACTTTATTTTATTTTATTTTGTTTTGTAGAGACAGCATCTCCCTTTGTTTCCCAGGTTGGGCTCAAGTGATTCTCCCACCTCAGCCCCCCATGCAGCTAGGACTACAAGCATGTGCCACCACATCTGGCCAATCTTTCTCATTTTTGTAGAGATGGGGTCTCGCGATGTTGCTCAGTCTGGTCTCAAACTTCCGGCCTCAAGAAGTCCTTTCACCATGGCCTCCCAAAGTGCTGAGATTACAGCAGTTAGTCACCACACCTGGCTCCATTGTGCCACTTTTAACTAAAAGGCACTTTTTTCTCAATATTTATATTCTCTTTCTTTTCAAACTACTAATCCAGGATTAGATAACTAGACTAGACTTAGACAAGTCTCTACACAAGCAAATCATAACAACATCAAAAACAACAAAAATTAGATTATAATAGGACTAGGCACTAGGTTAGTGTACTTTAGAATTTATTTTCATTTAATCCAACAGAGATTCAATAGCTGTTCATTCCAAATTTGATATCCATAAGTATATTTTTAAACTTAACCTAGGAACCTGTGCATTTTACTCTGTCTGGTATGACAACGGGATTAAAGTGTTGGCTCTAGTTGAGTAGGGAATGGGCAACAATACTATAAGTAAAGAGCAATGTGAGACAGACAGGTCAAATAATAGGAAGTTACTGGGTGATTTAGTTAGCCAGACAAGGGAGGTTCCACTGTCATGGTTGACCATGAATCCAGGATCCAAGGAAGAAGTCACTGGCCACTGCAATTGGGGAACCAGTTGCAGATGAGTGTCTTCCCACTCTACATTTACAGCTGAATCTTTCTTTCCAAAACCCACTGTGGGTCAGATATACCCTCACTGAATTTTAACTGTATTTTACAAGAATCAGGTAATATTTCAAACAATTTGAAAATAAAGCATTATTTCAAGTGTACAACTAACCCAGTCTGTTTTTACTTGAAGTAATTTTAGCTTATTTTGTTTTACCTCCAAATAGAGAATACCCTATTTGAAGATAAAAGCTGTTGTATAAATATAAAGCAAGATAACAATCAGGGTAGCCTGAAGGTTGAAATCGAACCAAAGAAAATAAATTCAGAACAACAAATTACTGTAATACTTTTATTTAATTTGATAACTTTCAATCATATAATGCACTGCACAAGTTATTTGGCAAGAACAAAAATAGTGTAGAAACTCATATCTTACCATATATCAAATTAAGTTTCAGAAATATTGTTAGTTAAAAGAAATAAAAAATTATAATTCTTCGTAAAATTTATCAGACTATGCTGTTAGCAGCAATAGCACTATTTATCATGAAAGTCAAAGGAAGGGACCATAATGAAATAACTATATTTGACTCCACACAATTAAAAATTTTGTATAACAAACACCACAAATAAAATGACAGAGGACACATAAGGAGTTGATGCAATGTTTTCTTTTTCTTTCACTTTTTTTTTTCTTTTTTTTTTGAGATGGAGTCTCCCTCTTGACGCCCAGGCTGGAGTGTTGTGGCACAATCTCAGCTCACTGCAACCTCTGCTTCCCGGGTTCAAGTGATTCTCCTGCCTCAGCCTCCCAAGTAGCTGGGATTATAGGCACCTACCACCACGCCTGACTAATTTTTGTATTCTTAGTAGTGACAGGGTTTTGCCATTCACTGTGTTGGCGAGGCTGGTCTTGAACTCCTGACCTCAGGTGATCCAACCACCTTGGCCTCCCAAAGTGCTGGGATTATAGGCATGAGCCACCGCGCCTGGCCAATTCAGTGTTTTCTTAAAAAAATAAATAAATATTTTTAAATAAAAATAGTTGATATTGGTTAGATTAATATACACATTGCTGGAAACATGTAAAGTTGGGTACATGTACCTATACATTTTTAAATAAATTGATTCATAATTCTGTTTTCAAGAATTTATTAAGCAAAAGTAATCTGAGATATTGATAAAGATTTACATGGTGCTAGTATTTATAATACCCTATTCTAGAAACTAAGCACCCAAACATCTGGCAATAATTAAATTATGATATCATAAGATAAGATGATACAGCCATAAAACAAAAATATTTTCAAAAATTTTGTTGATTTGGAAAATTTGTTTGCATCATTATTATTAAATTTTTAAAAGTTGGCTTACAAAAATTATATGTACTAAAAGCAACTAGTGCAGTGATTGTTTTAGACAATGGAATTATGAGTAATATTTTCCCTTTACATGTTTTCTATTTAATTTTTCTACAATATGTATTGCTTTATATTAAGGAAATGTTTATATGAAGAATATTTGATGGGCCACTGGAATCAAGATGAATTTTGTGGCCTATGAGCTGAGATTGCGTCAATATTGCCAGGTCTTTGGCTTCCATTTTTCCTGAGATGTAGGACTAATGGAAGATTGTGAGCAGAGAAGTGACGTCTGATTTAAGTTTATAAATACCTGCTAATAGTTTCCTTCATTATACCTTTACGGCAGTGTCCCTCTGTCTTTGCAAATGCCCCATATAAGGCATAGCAAATGCAGTGGCCTGCTTGGACCAAGCAGATACTTAAGTGGATAAACAGTGACAGATGTAAGTGCATAGGACTACCTACACTATGTGGCTGGTAGGAACACTAATAAACTATCTGAAGAGGACATCTGCTTCTCAGCTCCTCATGACTTCTGTCATTTAGAAATGTGGGCAAGTATTTCCTGACTTGATATGTTATTAAGAAAAACTGGAAATATAGATTTTTTATTAATTTTAAATTTTCTGAAATATGCGGCAACAGACACGGTATAAATCTAGCTTGGAATGTTAGTTTTCAATCTTTCTCTTGTTCTCAGTCATAGTGTCCTAGAATTTGTAATGTTCCTGTATAGTCTTGATAGCTCTCATGTCTGCCCTCTGGTTGTCCCTGTCACTCTGGATTTAATCTACTTGGTTTATCTACCTTGTCAGTCTTACATATTGATCTGAATGTTATTTATTTTTTTCCTGAGTCTACACAATGCCTTTCCTAGACATTTACTTCTTAGTTTTCATTCTATTGCATTGTTACAGTTTAAACTATACTTTTTTAAAGCTCAATTTCCATCTTTTTATAATAATCTTGCTAACTCAGAGGCAAACAAGTTACAAAAGATGTATTTTTTAGACAACACTTAAAAAATACAGAATTTGACCATTTCTTGAGATTTAATCTTACATTTTATAATGGGGTCACTGAAATCTGAATTGACATGTCTGGCCTACTTTTAATTAGGCCCTCTTTTAATATAACCTTTATTAAGAGGAACTTGATTTCCATTGGGAGAAAAATGAGTGCAATGTGATATAAAAATTGCAACTATGAGAGATTCTAATGTTAATGTAGGGAAAATTTCCAGAGAAATTTTGAGGATGTGTTTATGATATACTAGCTATACATAAATAGATTATTTTTAAAAATAGAACTGGAGCCATATATCATAAATTCATCTAATTTAATTTATAAATTATTACTAGTCACTCAAATCACCATATATTCCTGAAATCAAGTAATATTTAGACTTGGCTCCTGAGTATCATAAGAGCATGGGGTAACATGATGGACAAACTCGGTGGGTAAAATACTCAAAGAAAAAGGAGAGTATGCTTCATTTTCTTACTCTTCTCAACCCTAAATATTGGTACCATTTACCTTCAGGGAAAGACTCAACAGACCCTGGGAAACTCAGACTAAAAGTTTTCAACATATTTAAACATTGAATATCTCTAACAGAAAGCTGAATTTGCATTTCTGTGAAATTCATTGATTAGTTGTACCATACACAGACAGAGGTAGAGTTTCCAATCAACTTATTCATGTTTTACTCCTAAATAAGTTAAGGAATACCCATAAAATTAAGAATTTAAATAAAAGAGGTTAAAACTACCCTAAAAATGAAGATTTTCAGGGTGCCAAAGATAAATTTAAAGAAGTTATAAATTATTGTCCTGAATTAAATGTAATTGTATATTGTATCTCTGAAACAAAAAGTGAATTATATATTTTTAAAACTCAGAGAACAAGAGAGAACTTTGAGAAATTAAAAATATGAGAGCCAAAATAAAAGTTCAGTATATGAGGTGGAAATAGAAAATTTAAAGCAATAGAACATAGAAAAAATAGAAAGACAGACAATGGGGAAGGAAAGAACCAAAAATTAAAGTTCTTTAATATAAGGCAAATTCTGTGTTATTGTGCTGACTCAAACTTGAGAAAGTTATTCATTTTTATGTAGCAGATATGAAAGAACCACAAAAGTCTGTGGAAGAAAGGGAATTAAAAAAATAAAAATATACTTTGGGAGGCCGAGGCAGGTAGATCATGAGGTCAGGAGTTCAAGACCAGCCTGACCAAGATGGTGAAACCCCGTCTCTACTAAAAAAAATACAAAAAAGAAAAAAAAAAATTAGCCGGGCATGGTGGCACGCGCCTGTAATCCCAGCTACTCTGGAGGCTGAGGCAGAGAATTGCTTAAATCTGGAGGGGCGGAGGTTGCAGTGAGCCAAGATGGCGCCACTGCACTCCAGCCTGGGCGACAGAGCGAGACTCTGTCTCAAAATATATATATACTTTATTTCTCAACATAAGCTTCCTAAAGTGTAAGACGCTTTTGTAAGTGATGATACCAGTCCATTCCTACAGAACTGAGTGTTCTCGGGACTTAACCATGTCAATATAATCTTTTTACATTACTAACTGAAGAAAATATGTGTCCTTTAAAGGCTTTCTTAAGATTAGGAAGCAAAAAGAAGTCAGAAGGAGCCAAAGAAGGATTGTAAGGTGGACACCTGAAGATTTCCCATCAAACTCTTGCAAAATTGCCCTTATTTGATGACAGTAATGAGCAGAAGCATTGTTGTGTGGAGAAGGAGTCTCTGGTGAAGCTTTCCTGGATATTTTTTCTGCTAAACCTTTGGCTAAGTTTCTCAAAACACTTTCAAAATAAGCAGATACGATTTTTCTTTGGCCCTCTAAAAAGTCAATGACAAAATGCCTTGACCATCCTTAAAAACTGTTGCCATGACCTTTGCTCTTGACTGATCCATTTTTGCTTTGACTGGATCACTTCTACCTCTTGGTGGCCATTGCTTTGATTGTGCTTTGTTTTCAGGGTCATACTGGTAAAGCCATGATTATCTCCTGTTACAATTTTTTTTGCAGAGAAGCTTCAGGATCCTGATCCTACTTGTTTAAAATTTCCATTTAAAGCTCTGCTCTTTTCCATAGCTGATCTGGCCACAGTGGTTTTAGCACACATCAGTGGAGTTTGCTCAACTTTACTTTCTCAGTCAAAATCGGGTAAGCTGAACCAACTGAGATATCTAAGATACTGGCTGTTGTTGGTGCTGTCAATTGTCAGTCTTTCTCATTTAGGGCACGAACAAGATTAATTTTTCCTCACAAATCAATGTGGTTGGTTTCATTTTGAACATCACATCATCTTCTCCTTTCTTAAAATAAGTCATTTGTTTGTAAGCTGCTAATTTCTTTGGGGCATTGTCAACATTAACTTTTCATAAGGCATCAGTGATTTCAGATAATATATTGTCTCATTAAAAAGATTCTAGTTCTCAAGAAGGTATAACCTGACAATCTAAAAAGCTATTATATGAATTTTAAAGTGATTTTTAAAAATATGCTTTTTGAAAAACGTGCATTCAGTGACTTTAAGTAGTTTTGGGATATATATTTTTATTTACACACACATTTTGCCATATGTATATGGATCTTCTATGTATCATATATGGATATATACATTTATGATATATATCATATTTTTTCTCATATATAGAGAAAATATCTATATACATGTGGTAGAATTTCTAACAAAGCCTAAATATATTTTTAAAGTTCCTAAATATCAGGTTTGATTCAGAGAAAAAGATTCCATTATTAGTGTTATGAAGAAAGACATTTAAATTTCATATCACGTATTTTTCTTTTGAAAGTTTTATATATATAAATGTACACACATGCTCATATTTTATATACATGATCTTCAAAAAGTTCATAGAAAATATATGTTATGAAAAAACTATGCATGGATTTGCAATGTTTTTGCACCAAAATAAGCTTATAATAATTTATTATAACATGTCTGAACAGGATCTGGTTTGAGGCACCAAGAAGGCTAAGGTATCAGTTTTCAGGTATATGCGATGCATATTTTGCCATGTATGTTTGTGTCTAAATTTTGGAAATGAGCTAGGTATCTTCTTTTCAAATAAAAAAAATTGTGGCCATACTTGTTTCTATTGCCTTACATGAATTAAGCACATAATTAGCCAGCATTCATTCATTCACTCATTCATTCATGAATAATCAACAAACACTTACTGTGTATTTATTATGTACCATTCACTAGGAGCGTCACCTTTCAGAGGAAAAAAACAGAAATGTAACTCACACAGATAAATGTACAACTAACAATTCTGATAAGATCTGTGAGGGAAAAAAAGAAAGTGCTATGAGAATGAAAATGTACTTTAATATACTTTGTTTTCATGTGAAAAATACCTGCAAGTTCCCAAGATTATTTTTCTCCAGTGTTAGTATGCATAAAATGAGTTTTCTGTGGTACATTAGTCACTAAGGTACACTAGGTTTTAGTAGAAGAACAATATAATTTTTCACCATTCCTGCCAAACACATTCAGAAAGAGAGAAATATAATGTTATCTCTATGTGGCCCTTGAGGAAATTGAGTCAAAAGGAGATTGAGTAACCTGTCCAAAAAAATTAAGTCATGGAAGCTGGAGCTCTTTACATCCAGGCACTGTTTATAAGATCAAGTTGTCATGGTTGGCTTAAGATGGAGAAAGAACCTAAGAAACACAATGCCAACCCCATCATTCTGCAGATAATAAAATTGAGGTCAAGTGTCTTGCCCACTGCCACAAAAGTGCTGAAGCTTAATTAGCATGCAGGTGACTTGGTTCTGAGTCCCCTGTTCTTTTCACTCTGACATATGCCATGATCGATAAATTTAACATTAGTTTCAGCCTAATGTTTAAAGATTTTATTTTCTCTTTTAACTTAAATATTCTATATTCTAAGATATTATAATTTCCCCTCCACCAACCTAAACTTAGTTGAGTTGAATACTTGATATTTGCCCAAACATCAAGCATCTAGAGAAGATTCTACAAAACCCAAATATAAAGAATCCAAAACTCACCTTCACCACAACTGGATCTCAAATTACCCACGGCCATTGTTTAGCCACTCAGTAGGAGGGGAGAATGTAACAGGGATAACGTTTTCTTGGAAAGAGACAATGGTCTTTATTAATTATAACTGAAATATCTCATTTGTGTAAATTTTACAAAAATGAATTATCATGTAAACATATTTATTAGGTCCCCTCCCAGGGCCTTGGGAGTCCTCTGCAAGGGAAAGGTCCTGAAGCTTAAGCTTTGTTGACTTCACAGGAAATGAACCTCTTGTTTCTGAAAGCTTAGAATCAAATTTAGAACGCACCTTTAACAACAGACCACAGGACTTGATTGGAATGGATTTCTGAAGTCTAACATTTTCTCTGGCATTATTTAATCCTTGCATTAATGATTCCCCATTGTCCTAATCATTTCTTATTTTACTCTGTCAGATTATAGATTTCTTCCAAAAATGCCTTGTATTGGAGTTCCACCAAGACACAGATGACACCCTCCAAGGGTTTACCTGAGGAAACCCTTAGAGGGTGACTTAACTCTGACCATACGTCTGTAAATAGCCGTTTAAGGATAAGGACCTTTTACAGAGGTATGGTCAGAGTTAAGGGTGAAGTGCCCAAGGAAAAGCAACAGTGGGAAGTTGTCAGCTACCCAATGCCTGAAGAAGCAAGTGGAGAAAACTATGGTATCTGAGCTTGAAGAGAGCTCAGGGTCCTAAAGGGCAGGGTTGGGGGAGGGTAGGTGTCATTAGAGTCAAGGCACTGAGGCAGGCAGGCAGAGGACTAAGAACTCCCTCAGACCCCACCACTTCAAACTCCTGTTGGAGCCTCCTGACTCTGGTTGCTGCTAATATGAGCTAGGGGCCAAGGAACTTTAGATGGTGCAGTTCATAGGGTACAAAGCAGAGCAGAGAATGGCAGACCGCAAATCTAATGAGGGGAACAAACCAAGATTAACCGGCTCAGGCCTGAATACCCTTAAAATAAGGTCTAGAATAATGTAGATTACTATTTAAATACCTGGGTACAGGTTTATATTAATATTTAAAATTATGAGAATCTCTTTATCAGTAATTCAAACTCCATGAAAAAGAGAGCAAAATTGACATAGATTTTTGGTTGGTTGGTTGATTTTATTGTTTCTTCTGTTTTGTTTGTTTGTTTGTTTTTGTTTTTTTTATGATGAACCAAAAGAAAAAAAAACAACTTTTAAAAGCCGATAAGGAGCTGTTAATTTATGTAGTCATGTAATACTTACGAATTTATTACTAAATATATTTGTGAAGGGGACACATTATCAAAGGTGGATGAATTGTAATTTAAGTACCAAATACCTTATTCTGAAACAAAAGTTCAGAACAGTTTTCTTGACCCCAACATTTTCAAGCCTGCTGAGATTGTTTTGCCTGTCTCTTCACATATTTTGTCATTCTGGTCATTATACTCACAACTCCTGCATCAATAACTTCCTGGAAACCACTTTCTCTTTAGCCTTCTTAGCACAGTCCTTGTCCATTGTGTCTGTGGTTATAGGTGTAAGTGGGTGTGAAATTGAAGCACTTGGACTCCTGGATTGAAGCTGTGATGCAAACTCTCACTCAGGCAGTGAGCAAGTAGGGTTGTCTGCTTTCCTTTTCTGTCTTAGGTCATTGAATGTACAATCCTCTATGCAGTGAGTGATTAATGCAGATACAAAGCTTAGCCTTTACGTGCTACTGAGCTGCTGAGAACAATTTATAGGACTAACTACAACTCTAATGTGTGTGCAGGAAGTTTTTCCCTAAAAAGACTTGGAAATATTACAACGTACCTTTGTAGTTTGGGTGCTTTTGAGGCATGGAAACACAGACTAAAATATATTTAGGGATACAAGTTTCCCCCTTTCAAAATTTGTCACAGTAGGAGAAATGCCCTTTTTGTCACATAATAATAGATTTGCTATTGTCAGAATGAATGTATTCTGCCCCACTAGTATGATCTCCATGAACAGGATCAAATTTCTGTATATTTTAGATTTACAGAGAAACTAAGAAGATTAGTTTGCATTTCTTGCCCCTGACTACTATCCATTCTCCTGGGGTTATGGAAAGAACACAAAGTTTGACTTAGAAAACTTTGGGTTTAATTCACTTTACTAGTTTTATGAAATTGCTTAACCTCTAAGCCTAGCTTTCCTCATCTGTAAAACCTCAGCCATAAGAGATTGGATAACAGCTACCTACTATAAGGATTAAGTACAATTATATGGGTTAAACCTCTAATCTGGTATATAGTATATGACCATCACCCCAAATCCAACAGTTCTCATCTTTCATTTTATGCCATGCTTTATTATTTTATGTTTATTTTCCCATTTATTTCGTAGAGAACACATTTTGGGTTGCAGTTTTGTTAAGGAAAGGAAAAGACTATACAAATAACTTTTAAGGAATTCTAATAATCATTTCATTAAATCGGGCCAGTATTTTTTTTCTGACAACTGAACACTTTATCCAACAGTGCAACATTATTTTACACATATTAGGAAATTGATGATTGCCAAAAATACTTTTAACTGATTTTGTTTCATTTTTTGTTACTTCAGGACAAAAGTTAAAATGCATATAGGATCAAGTATAATTATTTGTCCATTTCAGTTCTAGGGGAATCAGTTGAATATTTGAATGGATCTTAACAAAACTGAATGTACTTTATAGAGTACATGACTTTTTTTCTTAATTAACTATCTGAATTGTGATAGACGTTGTGGTAAGTTTCTCATCATGTTTTCTTGCTTTTCTCTGAAATAGCTGCTGACTTTGTAAGAGTGCTAAGTCACAGCTGCATGAATATTCAATAGCCTTGAAACAAGGACCAGGCATTTGGTCGATTGATAGATGAATGTGTAGTGTCTGAGTTTTATTCCTCTCAGGGAAATTTTGAAATTGATGTGGCTATGGCTAGCGGCAACTTATATGCACTATTTGAAGCTCATTTATTACCTACTATCTCAGTTGAATCCTCTGATTGAAAATAGTGTATTTAAAATTATGATTTACTATGCAACAATCTAAATGTAACTGATTTTAAATGCATTGACTTTTGTTGTCACTATCTTAACCAACAATTTTAGATATGATTTAAGGATAATATATTATTTAATTCACATTTTCACATTCTTAAAATAAATTTTTTCAGTACATATGAGCATCAGGTCACTGATTAATTCAGTACCTAGCTACAATAGGTGCTAATGTTCACCACTAAGTAATAATTATAAGCATTTGTTAAAGTACCAATTTCTATTTCTACTCTACTTGTGAGTACTATCCTAATCCTTAATTAGAAGGACAATTATATATATATATATATATGTATGTATGCAATCGAGATACTTAATATATAGCCTCCATTGGATATCTGGATTGCTTAATAAATTTCAAATACATTTTATTAACAGGTACTAATGAAATCAGTGAAAGAAGCTTGTTTTTCATTCACAAATTGTTAGTATATTGAAGATTTACAAAAGAATGGCCATGTGTACACATTTTTTACTACTGTGCACATATATACTCATCTGCAAAAACCATTATGGATCAATTGCAGTACTTAGACATCACAATTATAAATGGAGGATTTTAATAATTATTTATAAAAATAATTTCAAATGTATTCCCTAGAAAATTTAGGATAAACATTTTCTAACATTTGAATCAACTATGCAAAATCACTTGCAATCAGTTTTTAGAGCCCATTAACTTTGATGTCATTTCAAATGCTGTTTACATATGGAATAACTACTTTGATTATCCCCTAGGAAGTTAATTTCGTGTTTAAAGCAATGAAATCTTCTTTCTTCCATATTTAAAATTACAAAAAAAGTAAAGAATAACAACACAGCAAGTGAGGATGCTGAACAAATATAAGTCATCTTGCTCAAAGTATATTTACTCTTTGATCTTGAACTCTTCCTTTTTATAATTTTTTCCCTAATTTTAAAAAGTGAGACAATGCATTTAAATTTCTGTATGCTACACCGTTTCTTCACCTTGGTTTAAAACAGAAAATATACCAGGGGTTACTTAAACCTGTACTCTAGGTACCCAAAGGCCCATGAAATACACATTTACTAGCAATGTTCAATAACCTCCAATAGGCAATATTAGTCTCAAACAACCACTTTAAAATATCCCTAAGGCTTCCTTTGCTGGTTTGATTTTAGCATTAATGTTGTACAAGTTATTTATATAATATAAAATTATATTTCTTCATCTGTAAAATTGAATTAATAATATCTTTTATTTGGTTTTATTGTAAGGATCAAATGGACATATAGAGAGGCAGATATAGATATAAACAGATATAAGATACATAGCTAGATAGATGATAGATATTAGCTGGCTACACAAATGCTATATACATGATAGATATAGATACAGATTCGTAAACATATGGTATTGTAACTATTATGGTTATATTATAATATATATTATAAATATTACCACTTATTTCAAATTTAAAACTAACCAATGAAATACAAATTATATTTTGATTTCATTGAATTGTCTTGCAATTTAGAACACTTTGGAACTGAATGTTTTTTATGTGGTTGGTAGTGTGGAAAACTGGGAAAGGTCAATTAAAACACAGAAATGCAAGGTTTAGAGAACGTTTAAATGAGGTAGCAATGAGGAATTGCTGTGTTGTGTTACAGTAATTTTGAAATTGATAGAATTTTGAAACTTGATATCACTGTTTTAAAAGTTTGCCTTTTAACTCCTACTCCTATTTTGACGGGTGGGAAAATAATTTTTCCTACAGCACAGGGGTTGTAAAGAGAAATGAAAATGGTAGCTACTAGTGTACACTCCTTAAAAATGTCAACAATGAAATAATGTTTTTAGAAGGCCTCTTAAAAATCAAAGCTTGAAAACATATACTAAAAAAGAAAGGTGGTTAGTGGGGCTTCTCTGATGACTCAGCTCCATAGAATCAATTTAAGGAAACTCAAGTTGAAAGCAAAGTGTCCTCAGTTTTAAAGGTAAGTGTGAGCTTAAGAAAGAAAATGATAGTGGGAAAATTGTTAAAGTCAAATAGTTTCTAATAAAATGTCTACTCATTTGTGGGTTCAGTGTATGCAGTTTTTTCTTGTATGTCCCTGTAATTCCAACTCTGGGTTTTAGGCTTATGAAAATTAACTACACAACCAACCAAATGAAATGAGTGAAATAAACTGTCAGGCCTGAGGTCTGACTATCTATTGACGCATACCGCAGTGTATCATGAATGTAGTGAAGAAAACTTTGCATTGGTATGTTTTTAAGCGATGGTCTTCAGTATTTAAGAATTTCAAATTTTTGAAAAGATAGTGGTAGAACCTTCCATATTATTCTATATGAACCAGTTAACTGGACCATGGCATATCCTGACTCCTTACAAAGAATTTTGGAGTTTCATAAAACTAAGTAATGCAAGGTATCTCATTCTCTTAGTGTTTCTTTTCTGTGATGTATATTGGTCTTTGATTTTCATGCATATTTATGAATTACCAAAACAATATTTTTCATTCTGAACTTATGATATCAGCAGGACTGGATGTTCTATACTAATTGACAAATTAGATGCATATTAATCACCAGGAACACATGGTGGCATCTACCCCCAAATTTGGAAAGCACTCAAAAGTGTCATTTGCAAATTTAGGACTGTTGACAAAATGGGCAGTTTTTCTTTATAGGAGGCATGATGCCAGGGGCCTAGTGAATTGACATATTGCACCTTATTATAAGAAAGTATACAGAGGATGAATATAATTTTATTTCCTAACTTGGTTAATAAGATGTATAGATCCATTTAGAACCACCAGCCATCCATTTGAGTGGCAGAAACCTAACTTAAGTGAATTTTTTTATATCCACCCCCACCACTATACTGAGATTTATCGAAGTTTGAGAGGGTAACTAGTATCAAGGCACTGGTATGGGAGTGAGGTGGGGGGAGGTGTGTATGAAAGGGCTAATTCACCTTGTTTTTTTAGTCTTCTGACTACACACACAGATGTCTGCTGAGATGTCCATTATCCCATGTGGCCCTCAATTATTTTTCCTATTGTTTACCTCAGAGGCATGCTGTGTTCCTCTCCTCCTGATCCCTTAAACTCTGGTGCTCTGTCCCTTTTTTGATGGTCATTCTCTTGTCTCCAGCCTACATTAGGAAAAGGAAATGAGTATTTTGAACTTTCCTAACTCCCAATAACTGCTCCTGTCCCTCATCTCTAGATTCTATCCCTTCACCACTATCTTCTTGCTCCCTAGGCCAGGGTTCCTGTCTTTGGAGAAAGCATCAGTCTTTTTAAACACCATTCTCCCAAGCATTGTGGTTAATACCTTGGACTTCTTTTTATGTCTCTATGGGTTTAGGGTTTTAGAAATCAAAGTCAGCAATACTCATCCTTTTCTGTATTGGGCCATTTTATATCCCCTCTTACGAGGTAATAGGCATCGTATAGTCTATTTTCAGTGATATCTAATAAAACTTGTGATGATGGAAATAGCTACATGTGGCAACTGAGCACCTGAAGTGTGGCTAATGTGACTGAGAGAGTGAAGTTTTAATTATATTCAGTTTTAATTATTTTAATTTAAATGGCTACATGTGGCTAGTGGCTGCAGTATGAGATAGCACAGATAGCTGCTTGAATGTAGAGAAATGACAAAGGGGAGCAATATGATAAAGGTGAGGCTTTTAAAAAATGGCTATAATTGAAAAATATCATCCAGTCCTGAAATCATATCAGAGAATTTCTTTTGACATCTGTATAGCATGCCAAAATTGAATTGAAATTACCATAACTCAAATTGCCTTAAAAAAATTGTCCCTCCTTCTGAGTGTAATTTCTTCTTGCACTCATTTACCACTAATGGGAGACAGGTAGCAGGGAGAAAAGAGGGGAACAAATCTAAACTTTCAGCAAAAGGCCTCTTCTGAGTAGATTACCAGTCTCTTATGCTAGTGTTTGCTTTCTCATTCCAAGATGGCGTCAGGATGTAAAAGAAAGCCTAGGAACATGTCTTCTTGTGATGGGGAAGGGCCCCCTGGATTGTGTGACATTTCCTCGGTTTCTTTTGGTCTCCTAAAGACTGGGACCGGACATGAGTGATGTCTGGGTAACTTCTTAACTACTGTTAAGAGTCCACAGCGAGTGAGACTTGCAGTCTATTCTTGGTGGGTCTTGCTGTTGCTGTCCTCTCCCAATCTGACTGCTACCTTGATGGGATCAAAATGCTGGCTCTGTCATACAACACATATAGGGATGACTGAGCCCAAATAGACAATCTCGGTGTCATTTTTCAGTGCTTTTGACCCTACAGAGGTAAAATAACTGCGTGTGACACATTAAATGTTGTGAGGCAAAGGAGCTGGATTCTCAGATGTTCTTGGCTTCCCCCATTTGCATATCTAGGATTTTTGTTGTGGATTTTCTTAGCGCCTTCCTGTATTTGGCTGCGACCCAAAGGGGGTAGTCTCTTTTCAGGTTCTGTTTATCTGAATCTCCCCTTCCTCCTCTCTGAAGGCTTTCCATTCGTCTTCTTGCCTGGCCAGAACTTCTCTGAAATCCCGTTATCAATGGTTTACAGTAAGCTTTTGTGATCCGAATTAGCCAAGATTAACACTTAATATTTAGAGGGAACTTTTGGAATTTCTCATTTTCTCTTTAAGTAAATCTTGGCACTTAAGATTATTGTGTCGCTGTGGAATCAAATGCTTATTTTGGAAATTAAAAGCTGAATGTATTTTTTTTTACTCTCTACTTTTCTGCATTAAAGATACAAAGGCCTATATAATAATGTTAATAAAGCCATCTATAAGTTGGATTTTAAATTTTTATAGTTTCCTGTATTTTTGAAAATTGACATTTGCCACTTTTCTTCTAAAAATTAAAAAAAAAACCTATGGGATTTTGCACAACCTAATTTGGAAGTAAAATCAAAATCACAACTGAATTAACGAAAGTTTTTGGATAAGGAAATTCCTGAACTTGATGTATTATTATTCTGACATGGAGGAAAATGTTCCTTATGAGCTCCTTCTAGGACATTTACATTTATAATATAATAAGAATAATTTTTTTCACATTATATGACAAATTTATATAATTTTTTCTAATGATTACCAGTAATTAAATGTCAGTTTCTAACTTGGCTCCAAATAGTTAAATTTTAAACTATTTTAACAATCATAAAGTGTTCAGGTCCTTTAGTCAAGGACAATTAACCATTTATTTTTATATTACAGGAGGTCAACATGAAGCAAATTTAGACAAATTGTAGTTAACTTTGCATAAGCATTTTCTTTAAAGAAAATCTGTAAACTCCAGACTACTTTGATTAATTTAAAAACCTTTCGTCCTCCTGTAAATTGATTCCATTGTGCAAATGTCTTGTACTGTGGTACTTCTTACTCTTAGAGAATTGTCACCTGTGCTATTCAGTCAGCTCAGTCAGTGAGAATAAAAAGACCTCAGAGAACCACAAAGAATTCTAAGAAGATGCTCTCTCTCTCTCAGGAACTGTGTGTTGGATGGATCAAACCTTGAAATCAAAATGTTCAACTTTGAGTTTATGTTAAAAAGAAAGCTTCCCATATTAATGTCTAGAAATAAGTTTTACACTGTTCTCTCTTGGAAGGGCATTATTTTTGCATTTTGTTGACAAAAGCAAATTTCATAAATAACTGTTTCATTTCAATTAACCAGTTTCTTTGGGATTTATTTTAAGATGGACTTCTTAAAGTAAGGCTTTTGATATTTTTAAACTTAGAAATTTGTATATATGGCCTGCTTTGATCATCATTGTTGATCAATGCTTATAATACTAGTCTAAGTGGCAAATGAATTTTTCTCTTCGAGCATGTAAACTCATTTATATACTTGTTCTTTTAAAAAAAATACATGGAATGCCTTTTTGTGCTGGATTTCTTTGTTCTCTCTTCTATTGCAGGAGGTTAAGCTTTTCATAGTAACATTTTTAGTGTTGACTCATACTACTTATCTTAATAATTTCAATCAGTCTAATGGAGTGACCTAGCTACTTGGTTCTGTATAATGATGATTCCTGTCTAGAAATCATCCTCAGACTTCCTTGTCTTCTCTTTTAGTGAAACAAACTGTACAGCACTGTCACTCATTTTAATAGGGGCAATGTCATTGCTTGCCACCTGTTATTTAATCTTTAGGATTTGGCAAAACAGACACCTTTCTTTTTATTCCACATTGCCCTGTTTACCAGATATAGGACTAGCTCTTTGCTGTTGAAGACTTTCAAAGGATTTGCATTTAGAGGAACTTGAGGTTGAATTCTGACTCCATCAATTAATAGTCAAATAATGTTGTACAAGTTATTTATATAATATAAAATTATATTTCTTCATCTGTAAAATTGAATTAATAATATCTTTTATTTGGTTTTATTGTAAGGATCAAATGGACATATAGAGAGGCAGATATAGATATAAACAGATATAAGATACATAGCTAGATAGATGATAGATATTAGCTGGCTACACAAATGCTATATACATGATAGATATAGATACAGATTCATAAACATATGGTATTGTAACTATTATGGTTATAATATATATTATAAATATTACCACTTATTTCAAATTTAAAACTAACCAATGAAATACAAATTATATTTTGATTTCATTGAATTGTCTTGCAATTTAGAACACTTTGGAACTGAATGTTTTTTATGTGGTTGGTAGTGCGGAAAACTGGGAAAGGTCAATTAAAACACAGAAATGCAAGGTTTAGAGAATGTTTAAATGAGGTAGTGCTCATTTAAGAATGTGTAAGATTGTAACACAAAAATAGAAACCAATGAGGAGGCACCAACAAGTAAGCACTTAAATCATACCATAAAGAATGGGAATGAGTTTTTCAAAATAAATAGGAACTCTTGATTCTTAGGAAGGTTCGTGTATTAATTGCTTAATTTTTTCAGTTTATTTTATTTGAGATTATTACATTCATTTTGTTCTATCTTTTAAATTTATTTTATCTCAGTGACATCATTGTATGTCTGCTGTATGACAAGCACAAAAGCATCATTCTTACCTTTATGAGAGTTAGTAATGAGCACAGGAGCCTTTAAAAAATGAACCTGGTAATTTAAAGAGAACATGGTTATTGATAATGAGATTAAAATGTGGTTTAGTGAGAGGGTGCTAGGAAAGCAAATAGAAAAGATATTTATTCCAGCCTGTGGATTTGAGGAAGATCTGCTAAATAGACGGTGTTGTGATCTGCTTTTTGTGATTTCTATGAAAGACACAGGTAATAGTCACAGGTAATGGAAGGATCAAATATGCTATCTTAGATGTGTTGATTGAAAATCTCTAATAGGTAGGTCTAGGCATATAGATTATTTGTACAAATTTTCCCAGGTGATTTTAATTTTTATCTATGATTCCTTTTACTTCAACACAGATTTATCTAACTTTTGTATAATTTTTCCCTGGAGGAAAATTAATAAAATGAATATTAAAATATTATTTTAAAATGAATCATTTATTTATACTGAAAACATTCCCTTAGCTTCTACATATTTTGGATCACAAATTGTGAAACACCCACTTCTACAATATGAATGGACATTAACTCTTCTGTATTTAACAACAATTAGAGAAACTTGTTCTTTGAATAATCACTTTACATTTTGCAGATACTTCAGGCCAATAAATTTGACCAGATGGGTGCATCTATTTGTGTAAATTACTCCTATTGAGAGAAAAACTAGCACGTAAATGAGGCAATTCTAAAGAGTAAATCCAGCTAATGTGTTCCTAGAATTTTTCAGAGATCAGTATTTCAAAGATCTTTATAAAATAAAACAGAAATAATTCTTGGGATGTATTAATTTGTTTTGAATACTGGCAGAAGGGGAGAAACTTTCACAGCTTGGGTGACAAATTTTTTAATATTTTGAGACATATTTATGAGAAACTAAAAATATTATCTGTAATAGTTGTTGGTACTTGATTGATTACATTTATTTCTACTCAGACAATCTCTTCTTTTAACATCTGATAGGTTCCTTTGCATTAAGAGAATCTCCCATTTGAGACCCAAATCAGGCCTGAGGGCATGGGCAAAAATCACAAACAGAATACAAATACCCAGAGCTCTTAGAGTGACATAATAAGCTGGGGAAATTTGATTGCGCATCACCACCGAGAGCAGTTCGACCAATTAGTGTGCTGGAGCATGCCCATTATGAACAACAGTCCTAGGGACCTCTTTCCCTTCACCCAAGCAGTAGGTGGGGGGCATGGACAAATAGAAGACAACCCTGCCTTTAGAGGGAGGTGTAGTAAGGGATTCAAGCAAAGGGCAGTCGTCCACACTGATATTTCTCAGGTACCTCCTATTTTCAAAGACATCTTCACTCCTAACTGTGTGACTCAAATCATTCCTTTATCATAGAATAGTGAAGATATATAATAACCATATTAGGGAATCTGTAAAACATATAAATGCACACACACAAACTCCTCCAGGGTCGAGAGGAGAAAAAGGGGTAAAAGAACAGGTAAATAAACACCATGTGGTCTTCACCTTAATGCAAATTTTGATACTTATACAAATAATGCAAAAACACATTCAGGTGCCTAGGTGGACCAGGGCAAAGGGAGGGACAGGGTCTTGAATAGGACTTTAATGTGGACACAGGGCAGAAGTTTCAAATCCAAACAAGAAATCTTTAAGAAGGCATTAAATAAGTATGCTATCAAATATTTATACTCCTTAAGGGCAAACATTACATTTTTTTTCCCTTGAGTAGATCTACTTTATTTTCAAAACACCTTTTTTTTTCTCACTGCAATCAATATAAGAGGAGGTTAAAAAGGAAATCTATAAACGGTTGGAATCAATTTAGCATTATCTGATCATAGAAAAGGGATTTGGAAAGTATAAATGAGATCTGCTGTAATTTTTCTCCTCTAACTTCTGCCATTAAAACAATACCAAATATAGTCAGTGTTATTTTATTTGTAATGTGTTTTCCCTTTATCCATCATAATTAAACAATTTCAGTATAGAAAAGACAAATAGAAACCCCTTTACAACTAACTTGTTAGTTGTCATGGAATTGAGGAAATTTTAGGTCTTTTTCTTCCTTGTAACTAAGGTAAAGAACCATCATTCTCAGCAAACTATCGCAAGGACAAAAAGCCAAACACCGCATGTTCTCACTCACAGGTGGGAATTGAACAATGAGAACACTTGGACACAAGAAGGGGAACATCACACACCGGGGCCTGTCGTAGGGTGGGGGGAGGGGGGAGGGATAGCATTAGGAGATATACCTAATGTAAATGATGAGTTAACGGGTGCAGCAAACCAACATGGCACATGTATACATATGTAACAAACCTGCACGTTGTGCACATGTACCCTAGAACTTGAAGTATAATAAAGAATAAAATAATTTAAAAAACTATAAAAAAATTTGTTTTGTAGATTTAGTCAAGGAATTTCATAGAACACATGAAAGACTTAAGTATCCTAATGAATATCTTTGATTCTATGCCGAAATTAGAGTAAATTTAATTTTAAATTATAAAAAGCACTTCAAAATGATTAGAATAATCAATGAAAGTTGCCACTATGAAACTGTCATTTATTTTTGTCAGCAAGAAAACGGCTTCTGACTAAATCTCGCAGTGTTGAAAATGGTACAATAGTAAAGCCAATAAATCAATTCCATTGCCTCGATATTTCATAGCCACTGACTGAAACATAGCCTCAGATTATTGTTTGGGACTGGGCTGACAAACAAGCATGACTCACTGTTAGTTCCCTCCATCCTTTCCAACAGTAGACATCAATCATTAGTCAGGCCTTCTTCCTCACCTGGTCCAAATGAGAATCCAGTCACACTCAATACAGGGCTCCAGGCTGTCACTACCAATTGATCTGAGTTAATATGTAACACGAAACCTATTCACCTTCTTGTGATGTATATATCTTTACAAGATAATTTAATCAGAGGAGAAAAGTTTGCATTTGCAAGTTGGTGTGGCTATTATTATAGCTCCTCCTCATGTCAGATTCATAGAGCAGCTTCTTGAAAACTTGCTTCTTTTATTAAATCTCATTTTTTGCCACATCTTGGTTCAAGGCTCTTTTGATTGATGGCTTGCAAAACAACAGGACCAAAACAGGTTCATTTTTCTTCTGTGCAGTGAAAAACATTTAAATTGGCTCTTCATTATTGTTGTTCTGCCTCAAAGAAGAAACTCAGAAATTTCCCACATCAAATGGCACAGTCGTAACACACCAGGAAACATCTTCCTTTTTAATATTTATCCACTATCCTAATTACTCTTTAAAGATAGAAGTGATGTTTATAAACATATGAAGATTTTAGATTTTTTTGGTGATTTATTTCAAGCTACGGGATACAGGAGTTATTGGACAAGCACAGTTTATTCTGGTTTGGCAGGTGTATTAGGCTGTTCTTGCTCTGCTATAAAGAAATACTGGAGATGAGGTAATCCATAAGAAAAAGAGGAGTAAGTGACTCTTGGATCTGCAAGCCCTACAGGAAGTATAGCAACATCTGCTTCTGGGGAGACTTCAGGAAGTTTCCAATCATGGTGGAAGACAAAGAGGGAGCAGGCATGTCACATGGCAAGAACAGGAGCGAGAAAGAGAGAGAGAGAGAGAGAGAGGAGAGGGAGGGAAGTACTACACTTTTTTAAATGACTAGATCTCATAAGTCACTCACTTTTGCAAAAATAGCACCAAGGGGATGGTACTAAACCATTCATGAGAAATCTGTCCCCATGATCCAATTATCTCCCACCAGTACCCACTTCCAACATTGGGGAATATATTTCAAAGTGAGATTTGGTGGGGACACAGATCCAAACCGTATCAGCAGGATTGATAAATTGCTTATGAGTCTGCAAAATTAAATTGGAAATATAGTCTTTGACTGCATTAATTCAATATATCAAATTATTTTTAGACTTCTTATTGACTTAAGTGTCAGTGAGACAGCCTACAGGGATCAGTTTCGCTGCTCTACAGAGTAAAGCAGGAAGGAGATAGGAAAGGATTCAAGGCCAAAAAGACAGAGAACTCAGCACTCTAATTATTTTCCTTTCAAATATTAGAGCCCCCTAATATTTCAGTTCTATTAATAAAAATGAACAGAAAAATGAGAGACTCTACAGTCAGCCAAGATAAAATAATCAATAAAAATCTTACGGTAATATTTTGGTCTTTTGGAACCACTCACAGTAGTTTCTGTTTTTCTGATCAGACCCTGGCTGATACATTCGACTGAAATATAAAATATGTAGGATTTGCTTTTGTTTTCTGGATACATATGTATGTGGCTAGAACTTGTACAGAATTCATGTGACTTTTGGCCATTATTGCAGGGTATTTAAAATAGACCTATGTTTTTCTAAATATTTTAAATTTGGCATTTTGGCTATTCAATATTGTTAACTTATGTTAAAATGCATCAGATATAAGATGCATTGATGGGTGGTTGGAAAGATTAATGAAGGATAGGTATTAACCAACAAGTATGGTAAAATGTTAGTAGTAAAATCAAGGTGATGGGTATATAACTGTTTACTGTAAAATAACTTCAACTCTACTGTATGTTTTAAAGCGGCCATAATGTTGAACAAATTAAATTTTGTGGATTTCAAAACAATCTTTTTTATCACTCAGAATTAATAATTTAGAGTTATAAATTAATATTTTTGCTTCCCTTAATTTGGTAAAAATTGAAAAGCAAGCTTAAATACAACATAAACACTCTCCCATAAGCTACTACCATTGTGTGGGTCAAAGAAGTATAATTTTGAAATTTTGAGCGTATCAATTTATAGTCATAAAGGTCAGATTCAGACTTGAATTTAACTATATATATGTTTCTATAATTTATACAATAATTCTACTCCAGAAGAATTATTTTTCAACACTGATTTTGTAAATTAAATTATGGCTCTACATAGGGAATTTTCTTTTTTCAAAGATTTAATTCATATGTTTACAAAATACCTAAAATATTAAATAAAAAGAACCCCATTCATTAAGATTTTTTTTGTTTGTTTGTTTTTGAGACAGAGTCTCGCTCTGTTGCCCAGCCTGGAGTGCAGTGGCGCAATCTCAGCTCACTGCAACCTCCGCCTCCCGGATTCAAGCAATTCTCCTGCCTCAGCCTCCTGAGTAGCTGGGATTACAGGCGCCCGCCACCATGCCCAGCTAATTTTTGTATTTTTAGTAGAGACGGGGTTTCATCGTGTTGGTCAGGATAGTCTCGAACTCCTGACCTCAAGCAGTCCTCCTGCCTCAGCCTCCAAAAGTACTGGGATTACAGGTGTGAGCCACTGTGCCCGGCCATTAAAATTAGTATATTGTCATTGATAGATGTTTCTGCAAAATTTAATTTTAAATGTCATCTTTGTATTTAAAGGGGGCTTTAGCATGAAGCTTACTAGTGAAAAGTTGTCAATATATTAGTCCCTAATACATGTTTATGACCTATTTGATTATACAGCATTTTACCATTGAATAACATTTTGACATTTTAAACATAAATTATTATGAAACACTGTGTACATTTAATTTGAAGGTTGTCCAAATTTATTATAAAATATGAGAAAGAAAACTGGACTATTGAGCAAAGCATGATGTTATTGAAGCATCTAGGCTTATTAACCTAAAATACTGTATCTTTGTTGTTTTAACAGTTTTGCTCTGCTTTTAGATTTGGGGCACTTAGAGAATAATGCCAACCTGATTATCATTCTCAAGTGAGCTTTCAAGAGTTCATTAAAAGTTAAGAAGAGAACAGCATGCTCTGGGAAGCAGCTATTTTTAACAGCAACAAATTTGAATTCACCTACTTTAAAGCTTTTTGCTGTTTTTAGAAAATATTTCTATCAATAACTTTGAGATTAGAAGTCTATTAAGGTCACAGTTCACAGTCTCATAACACAATATTCTGATATTTTCCCCTTCTGACTGAATTCATGAGAACCAAATTATTTTACTTAAGAGGAGCCTACATAAATAAGCAGAGTGTACATATTTGCTCTAAAAAGAAAACAAACAAGAACTTTGAAATGTCCAGTTTAATTGGAGTCCACAGGTATGTATAATTATGCTTTGATTTGATAAATCAGTGCTAAATAATCTGTGAAAACCTTGCTTTGTGGCAAAGGGCTCCTTTTAGCAGGTAAAGCTTGAAATTCCATCAATGAAAGTAAAATCCTGTATCATTAGGTATAGTTTTGTGTCAAATCTAAATGAAACAAACAGTCTTTGAAAGCTATAACATCTGGTTAGTAATTTAGCTATATCACAAACAATATTTTTAATTACGCTTTAAACATATCAGTCTCTATTTATTATAATTAAATATTTAGAGAAATACTGGGAAAATATTTTTTAAATTACAAAATGCATTTATAAATAGTTACCAGAGAAAAGAAAGCTACATTTTTGAAATGTTGTATTTAAAACAAATCACAGATTTTTGTTTTTCTAGAATGTTCTTGCTTCCTTTTTATTTGTCCAGCTACTATTTATTATTAGGCACCAACTTTGTAGTCATTCCCTTCCCTCTAGCTCATTACCCTAAACATGAAGAGTAGCCTAGCTATGTCATATTTTCAAATACAGCATTCTGTAACACTCAATATAATGTTTGCTTGTATGTTTTCTCCACTAGAATTTAAGCTCAAAGAGTGTAGGGACTGTGATTTCTCCAGTGCTTATCCATTGCTATTTGTGTTTTCAATTGCACAGAGTAAATGCTCAATAAATTGGAATACTTGACTTAAGTTCTGAAGCCTCTCTTCTCTAAAAGTCATTGTAATGTAAATCAGCATTTCAGTGGTCTTGAAAGGGAGATAACGCATTTCAGGATCTCCTCCTTTCCTTTTTAATATAAATGTGTGTTTGTTTGAAGAATCATGATGGAATCAAACAATCTAGGCTTCTAACTCTGTGTCTCACTCTGTGTCTGTCAGTGCCCCCGACCACACACCTTCAGAACCAGATGGACATGTGAAGGGTTTAATTGAAGAGAGTTTAACGAAAGGGTTATTTAAAGGTGTGGGCAGTGCTAAGTGGACTAATCTGAGATACGGAAACATTCAGGGACTAGCGCTGAAGAAATAATAGAGCTAGACTGTAGTTAAAGTGACAAGCACAGATTTTATTTAGGAGCTACTGCAATAGTGGAAAAGATACTTCAGCATAGTCCTGGAGTCAGTTCAAAATACAGCATGGGCAAGTGAGAAGTTACATCCAGACAGAAGGGTGGGAGTCAGTAGATAGAAAATTACAAAGAGGAAACATCAGGGGTGAGGAGTGATTCTGGCTAACCCAGCTTGACAGGATTCTTAGTGAAGGCAGGCCACGGTGATCAGATATCATCTAAAGGATGATGGTGGATGAGGAAGTTGATCAAATATTGAGGTGATCAAATACTGAAGTGGGGGGCATTCTCTCTAAACTGACAGGGTTTTTGCTAAAATTAGATGATGCAAAGGTTGTCACAGAGGTTGAAAGGTCTAGATGTAGTTGAGAAAAGCGTTCAGAGGAGGCTTGAGTAGAGTTTGGTCAAGGATAGAGTCTTTTTCACTAGCAAGAATGAGAAGCTGTTATCACCCCCAAAGGAGCAAAGAGAAGAAGGAACATTATAGGGTCTGGGACTTAGAGGAAAGCAGTCACTGCTAAAATTTTGACCCAGCAATGATGGAGCTGGCTGGGGTGGGGAAGACTAGGGACTGAAAAATAAGTACCTCAATTTGCCATAAAAGATATGGTGATGTGATTAAAGCAGCACACATTCCTTTTGGTGAACATAGGATTTTACTATACCTAGGCTATAAGAAAAAGCTTGTTACGAATAATGGAGGTGACCGTATGTGTATGGCACATATGTGCATCTGCATGTTTGTGTTGTTTCTGTAGCAGCAGCATGACTTGAGCACCAGCTCTGAGCCACGCTGCCTGTGTTCATATTCTGGCTCTGCCACTTACTAGCAATGTGACCTTGGGCAAGTTACTTAATATTTCTATGCATTAATTCTACATCTATGCAATGGGGATAATGGTATTGTCTGCTGTAGAATAGTATGAGACATACAAGTTCTGAGAATAAGTTTGGGACTTAATGAGAACTAATTAAATGTTAGTGTTACTACAGGCATATGTAATAATTTTTTTCCCAGTGCATATATAATATTGTAGTCTACCCATAGCTAGTCGTTTATAATTAAGATTGTTTTGATGGAGGCTGGGCGTGGTGGCTCACGCCTATAATCCCAGCACTTTGGGAGGCCGAGGCAAGCAGCTCACCAGATCAGGAGATGGAGACCATCCTGGCTAACACAGCGAAACCCCGTCTCTACTAAAAATACAAAAAATTAGCCGGGCATGGTGGCGGGTACCTGTAGACCAAGCTACTTGGGAGGCTGAGGCAGGACAATGGTGTGAACCCAGGCGGCGGAGTTTGCAGTGAGCCAAGATTGCACCACGGCACTCCAGCCTGGGCAACAGAGCCAGACTCCATCTCAAAAAAAAAAAAAAAAAAAAGATTGTTTTGATGGAAGGATTTGCTGACAATGACTATATCAGTGACAAAACAGATTTAAAAGTCATCTTTTCATTTTCGTATGGTCTATTTGGACTGATTGTCTAATGGATTATCTTGAAATTGGCCTCCAAATAGGCTGAAATCTAGTTTAAATCACATCTGCTTGAATTGTTGTGCTCTTAGATACGTTCCTTCTCAGCAGCACATCTGGATTCATCCAGGTACTTAAGAAACTCCTTTTCGGCAATATGTCCTGTTCTAGTGAGGTAAAACCATTTGTGTCTATCTGTGTTTGTGTGTGTATTTGGAAGGGAAAATATTCCCAATATATGCCATTTATTAGTATAAAATTATAGCCAATGAAAAAATGAGTTTATTTTTACCTATGTATTAGTTGCTTACATTTAACATAATTGACATAATCCAATCAAATGGGCTAAAGATTAAAATACAGTTTTCTGTATTTGTGAGATTAATTGAATAATTATACTTATAAATTATTGAGAAATAATCTTTGTTCTTATTAAAATAAGTTCATCAATTCACAGTAATCACAATATGAAGTAAATTGATGGATAAAATTGAGTGAATTATTTTAGAAAGAACTCCAGTAGTGTAAGAACTGTTAAGAAATTAGTTATTATCATTCCCCCTACTTTTCCTTTATTAGAAAACCAGTCTCTGCTCAGAGACTCAAGAGGGAAGGCATAGGTACAGCACTAACACAAGGAAGGACAATTAGACTAAGTCCATTAGCTTTGTAGAACTGAACGGGAAAGTCAGTGCCTCAGGGGCAAAGTTCCTGTGCAAGAGGATGGCTAAGCAGAGACACAAGAAAGTAAAGTCACAGAGAGACACAGACAAGCACCCCAGCAAGCTTGACGATTAACCAAGAGCAAAAAAGACAAAGACTATCTGGAGAATTTCCACTTATTCTGAGGCAGAATTTCAATTTGTACACTTAGGGTCCATGAAATTTTCAGGTAACAGACTTTTTGTATTTGAGCCAGGGCTGACCCATACATTCCTTGGCCAGAGGCAATTTTGACTTTGTGGTTTCTTGCTTCCAATAAAAATAATAATAATAAAATTATATTGTAGTGACATTAGTATAAAGAGAGATATAACCCAAGCTATATTATGTTCAACTTTTTAGTGAAGCAAAAGGTTCAAAATGTCCAGAACATTTTCTTCTTTTGATTTCACAAGAAATTAAAGCATTTCTAAAGACCTCAAAATGTATCTGGGGTCCTGGACCCTGTGCCTCCCACTGTGCCCAGTGGCTAAATTGGCCTTGACTTAGCCTTCTTTGAAAGCATTTCTATTCCCTGTCCTCGAGTAATCCTTACCTAAGAAAAATGACATTCTCCAGTGAAATTTCCTAAAGGGCCCAGTTCAAAGATACATAAAATCTGTAAAATTAACAGAAGTTTGAAACATGTCACGTGGTTAGATTTTTTAAAAACAAAACCGAAGACGTCCAATTAAATAGATCTAACATTTAAAAGTTCCTAACCACTGACGTCTGTGCTAAATATTGTTTAAAAATGTTTTGAATTATTTCAAGAGTAGCTAATTAAGAAGAAAATATCTTACTGTTGATCCATGTCAGATTTAAAGCTTCCTTTGATTTCATTTTTAAAATAGTTTTACTGAAAATTAAGTGAATATTTCATACTTGCAAATAGTATCTAAGGAAATTCTGAAAATGAGCTTTTGTTTTGATTTTCATTAATGTCGACACCTATTACCAATCTGTACCTAATGTCACTTTTTTTTTAACTTAATAACATTGAAATCAGAAAAAAAATCATTATATCTCACTAGGCACAATCACTGGGATTTTGATGAAAGGAAATGCATTTCTCATGCAGTCTTTTAGTAAGGATTTGTTTAAAATGCGGGTTGTTCTACTTTAAAGCTCAATGCTCTGGACATTTTGAACCTTTTACTGCATTAACTGCATTCATTCTAAAATACCTTTCAATTTAAAACAGAAGATAATTGTAATACCTTGAAGCAAATGAGATGTTATTGCAATAATTAAATCCAAAATGAGATGCAGATACTTTAGACCTGCTGCTATTTCAGCTATTTAATAGCGAATAGCTTTTCCATTGGTCACACTGATTTCTTTCTTTTCCGGTTGAGATGGAGTGCTGCATACTAATCATATTCTAATGCATTTTACAAGAGGTAAAATGTGTATTAAGCTCTATCACACTATTTTAAATTAATATAACTTTGCAAAAATTATAATACTTAAATGACATGATGTTTTCATCCCTCACAAAAATGCATCAGATTTAAGAAAATAATTTTACATAACAATAGGTAACTTGAATACTAAGTGGTTTTTCCACTAATGAATTTGCCAGAGGAATCAGGGGGCTTTTCTTATTAGTTTTCTCAAGCTTCAGAAACTTTCAGTGTTTAAACTGTGCCTCAACATTTCAGCTGGAGGTGTGGAGCTTGTCCATGTGATTGAATATGTGAATGGCTATACTGAGAGAACAAAGCAACTATTTTTTTCAAATAGTGTCATTTTTTTCTCTGGAAGGAATATCATTTCCATCAAGGACATAGCTCATAAATTAAAATATTAAACCAGAATACATTATTTATGTCAAACTACGTATGCAAAAGGACGTTTCTGTTTATAGAAATAACCTAAATATCATATTTCTCTTGAAGAACAACTTCTAGTAGATGTATTTCTCTCTTGGTGAAATAATTACGTGCTTCAGTGTTTGAGAAGCTGAAAACCACTACATTTTTGGCTGCCCCTCTTAGCCCTTGCCTGTGGCATTCCTTACTGCTCTTCTCTCCCCTTTTTCTTTAAATCTTACTTTAAAATAATGGTAATAGCTGACACATGTTAACACATATTGAGCACTTACTGGGCACTGGAGTAATCTGAGGTCCTGGAGCTAGTCTGTGGACAGCAAATGTGCACCTAGGTGGTCCAGCTCCAGAGCTCATGCTCTTAACTTCTCCCCATCAGGGGGCTACAGAGGCTGGCAAGTGGGGAGGATGGATAATGCTTTTGTAGAAAAGTGTTCTGAATATAACTTTTAACCTGAGATCTTAACAAAAGAATCATTCCCTGTAAGCCCTTTTTTTATCTGGTTCTCTGAATGTTATTACTTACTTCCACTCTAACTCTGGTGCTGTGGGTTTCTGTTTTCCTTCCCTCCGGCTCACCAGGCTCCCACCTCTTCTGCTGCAGCTCTTATTTTGGGTAGTTCTCACTCTTCTGCTCCTGCCTTTATTACTAATTTTTTTGTATTGACATTGGCATTTCTTAATGACAAATGCCATCTGTTATTTGGGTTTATCTGGTCTCTCTCCTGGCTGCAGATGTGCTTTTGCTGAGTGTTTAAAGAAGTCGGCTTCTGTTTCCTACATCTAAACTATTTTCATAATATTTCTAGTTTAAGACAGACCCTTCTCTCCTCCTGACACAATGACCTTGAGGGAATGAACTGGAATCAGTACCAATGCACCAGCCTGGCCTCTGCAGTGTATATCTCTACTCTGGCCTTCCTAAAAGGGATTCCTTTGTAGAAACTACTGATGATTAGCAGGTCACCCTGGCTCCAACCCTGATTTCAGAGCCTTAGATTTGGGGATTCCTATTAGCCCAGTGTTTCTCATCATTTCTTTGCCTTAGGTTCAGCTGGCATCTTTACGGGAATTGAACTCCTAGAGGTGTGTAGTCCACAGTTTTAAATCTCCCTGTGTTCTTGACTCCCACGGAAGTTTTCTTTCTGGGACCCCTTTTATTCCTTCTTTCCTCCCATTTCTTGAAATAATCAAAAGACTTTGGTGGGGAAATGTTCCCTTTAAAAGGGAAAAACTTTCTAGTTCCCTTGATCCCTTTTCACCCTTCAAACTCTACTGTGAAATTAACCCCAGCAAGTCTCCATTATGTATCAGTACATTCTTTGTTTTTCTACCCAGGCCAGCTCTCTCCCTGCCAGTTCTCTGCATCCTCATGGAACGAGGGCAATTGATGCTATCTTTATCTTTCCAGATCTCGGATTCATAAGCCAAGACCTTATTTCTTTTCTCCTACCAAGAGCGTGACCTGCTTGATTTTTCTCTTCTCTCTTTTACAGTTATTATAAAATTGTCTTGAATTCCTATTCCTTCCAGAATGCTGGAAAACTGATTTCCAATCTCTATTTTTACAAAGAAGTTTTCAAAAACAATATCTATTTTGCACAAGTGATTATGGCTAATTCATAAGAAAACAAACAGAATTTACGAACTTAGCAAATGTTGAGAATTATGAAAATGCCAGAAAAAAACATTTATATGCAGTTCTCTGAAGTCTTAATTCAAAATGAAATAGGAGCTAGGTTTGCTTTCTAGTATGCCTTTGGAAATTGTCCCTACCTTGACTTTCTGCATAAATGGTCCTCTGCCAACATCCGTGTTTTGTTTTGTTTTTCTTTGTTGGTTTTTGGCTGAAGAATCAGCTAGCCCAACAAAGCTAATTACATTTTAACTTCAGCAAAACTGAGGTTGACTTGACTGCTGGGTCTGCTGTTAGCCCATCCCTTCAAAAGCATGCTTGATGGTCCATTTCTCTTTCATTCTGTATAGATAAGATTGATTCATTCATACTCATGGCTTCAATCATCACTCAGTTTATATCTGCACAGTCATCACATTACTCAAATAAACATGTTTCTTACTCCTTAGCAAGATAATCATAATTAGCATGAAAATTTATCAACATACCTAAGCTCTATGTCAGTGACAATATCTTACCTAATGAGGTAAGACTGGGAGGTGTTACTTTTAGCAGAATGTACTTCATTATGAAGGCATAGGTTTAATGGGAATGTATCTTAAGGATTCTGTCTGTTCTTGCCTTGAAATATTAGGCTATGGAAACAAAAGATAACTCCAGGGTAAATATTTTTAAAAAGTAAGAATTAAATCTCCAAAAATAATGACTGAGGGCAAAATATTATTAATAAATTTATTGAATTTCAAAGTGCACTAAAATTTTTATGAAACAGGAGTTGGACAGAGGCTTAATTTATGCGTATAACATCATTTTGCAACTTATCTGAGTTCAGCAGAGATAAAATTCCTTTCATAAATAAAGAGGCGGCAATTTTTGGTGACTGAAAAAAAGGCAAAGGGCACAGCTATATTAGCAATTTTGGTCTTGATCGACACCACAGGCATTCAGTAGCTACTATTTCAAATTCATTTTAAACTCTTTTTTGCATTTTAATAGTTTTGCTTCTAACACTAGAATGCAAATGTGAATTTTTGCCTCTAGCGTGTTTTATTGCTACCTTGTCAAAATCACTAGAAATCTATATTATTCTAACACTACATTACATTTTTCAGAAATCAGAAGGAGAAATAATGTATGAGTAAAGTCAGAGGGTATGAAAAGATGTTTTGTGAAAAAAGGGACAGAAAAAAATGTAGAAATATAGGAGGAAGGACTAATAAATGGGAGACATAGGAGAGAGACAAAGAAAAACAGAGGGAAAAATATGAGAGAGGGGTTTGGTAAATTATGATCATGGATGTTGAGACCAGTTGAATGGATTTTGCTTTCCCTGTTTACTTAGATAATAAACACTTTCAATTTTTATCACTGTTGTTGGGAATACTCACTGTTTAGTAGTTAAGGATACTTCTTGCTTACTTGAAAGTAGTGTGACAGCTTTAGTTTTCAGAGTTCAAAGTTTTGCTTTCTTAAAAATAAACCTTATTAGATACTGATAATTTTACTAATTAATAAAATAATTTTTTTTATAAATTCATTTTGGAACTTTATAGATTTTGGTCAATTTAGTAGATGTGTTTAAATGCCTCTTTGACATTCAAATATTGACAGCAATTTTTTATTTATACAGCAGAATATTTAATGCTGCCTTGTTCTGAAATAGCTGAAGGTTATACTTTGAATCAGCAGATTTTTTTACTTCTCAGCCTTTTCTTTCAGATAAAACTTAGGTTTATGATCTAATTAGGGATACCATATGGTGTCATCAACAATAACACAATGACACCATGATGGAAATAAAATGGCTGAGAGATCAATGGATTAGGCACTTTTCCATGATTTCCAATTTTTGTGAACAAATTATTCAGATAATGTTCTTCTGAATCAAATAATCAAAGCATCTGCCATTTGTTTACTTGCTCTCATTGAAAATGCTTCATATCTGGACGATTCCAACTTCCATTTTTTTCTGATTTCCTGGAGTTGATGCTTCTTAATTCTTAGGCATAGTTTATATGGTCACAAAATCATTCCCAGACTGAGCATTGGAACCATTCTGTCCACTAGAACTTGATTTCTGCCTCCATCTTTGCTTCTCAGTCTGCCACTCTTTCCCTTTCTGACTATACATTGCTTTCTGAATCAACTGGAACTTTCATAACTCTATCTAACATTTTTATTTGCTTTTCCAACTTTAATTACACTTCCCTTTCTCATGTTATTTTTCCAGTGGTACCTTTCTTGTTAATAGATTGCCCTCTTTTTGCCCCTACATTGTAACCTCCCATCTAGTATCTTTTCTTTAGACTGAACACTCCAACAGTAGCGAAGTATAACTCCTCTCCTTTCATTTACTCACAACTCTCTCTATCTTTAAACCCAAGCTACAATTTTAGTTTTACATCTATGAATTTGAAATTAATATTTATTATCCCATGATAATTTATCTATTTATATGTATAGTTATGAAAGAATTTTATATAATCATTATATAGATCTTACAGATTTATTATCAAATTTAAATTATAACAATCTTTGGATTAAAATAATTGTTTATACATTATATATTATGCATTAAAATTATATATGGCATTTTATAGAAAAGGATTAGTATGGAATAACTTTATTCATGAGAAGGACAGTAAATAGTTGATGTTCTAAAAGAGTATTTTTTGGCAACATACAATCCAAGCACTTTGTACTCATTTTTTTAACTATAAAATGTAAGCTGTTAATTGCTTGAAAACTTTTATAAAATACTTGCATGCCTTTGTGGTATTAATTTGTACTTCAGACTTGAATCTCTGATAGCTTTTTGAATTTCAAAAGAAATCACTACTTATATATTATTTTAAAAACTTGTTGAGCTTTCATCAGGGTAGTCTGACAACCTAAGCAACATTTTAGTTCCAAAAAACAAAAACATATCAAAGAGACCATATCCAAAACAATAAGGAGATTTTTAATTAGTCAAATTTTTTTTTGTCACCATATGGTGACAGTGGGATGGCTGATGTGCAGGTGTGCACTAACCACAGCTAGGCTCATCTATTTATTTTGCCTAATAGCCGATCTGGAAAATAATGATGAAAAATATTGAGGAGGTAGAAAAAACACAGCTTGATTGAATATTCTGTGTACCACAAAACATTGGTGTATTGAAACATTGTGTTGAAAGTTGTTTTCAATCTAAAAAGTATATGTAATGAAGATAAAGGGAAAAATACTGAAGGGTTTGTAAAATGGTAAACTTGTGAGAGAATAAATTTTATAATTTGATATATGGTATATCTCAGGAATAACAGTGATTCATTTTCAACAGACTGGGAAATATAAAAGGCATTTGATTTTTATCTTAAAATATCTGCTAGTTTAATATAGTCAATGCTTAAAAATATATAGACTTTGGAATTACATCTGGAATTCCTTTTCTTTTCTGACACTTTGAGCTTTGTAACCCTTGGGAATTAAGTTCTCTGAGATTAAGTTACAGATGAGATTAAGTGATCTCATCTGTAAAAAAAGGTTACTATAATCCATGTCACATTTGAGGTTGTGAGGAGAATCAAATGAGTTAGTGCACATCAATTGTACTAGCAAAGAACACTACAGTGCATAGTAGTTATATTTATCATCATTACAGCTTTGCATTAAAAATAGCTTTGATTCATGACAAAACACAAAAGACTTTGAAACTATTTCTTTCATGGCAGAGGGCAGGTAGTACAGCAAAACTATAGTCTGATAAGAAAATAATTGGAAAGTACATTAATATTAATAACCATTATGGTTCTATATATTGAAATTGCATCAGAGACTTGACTGGATCGCTGAGGAGTATAATAGTTTCTATAAGCCTCTCGGTAGTAGCCCTCCAGATTGTGTAACGCACGTCTGCACTTTATTTTTATCCTGCTTCTGTCTGTCTCATTATAGGGGCTTGTGAAGAAGGTTTACTGAGGTTATATCAAATACCAAGTATCTGTGATATCTTTTCACTTATATTTTCTGTTTGCTCCTCACAATAATACTCTTCACTCAGCAATATTAGACCCTTTTCAATAAATGAGCAAGAGGAATGGAGAAGGGCATGACTTTGCCATAGTCATGTGTACCAATAAGTGATGTACCCATACTAGAGCCAAGGTTTTTCTCATTGCCTAGCTCATTCTCCCACTAATCTTCCATGATATTTCAAAGATTGTTATTTGTCCATATTTCAAAGTTTTGAAAGGAGGGAAAGAAATTGTTTAGTAAATGTATGGGCAATTAATATACTTTGTTTAAATCATTCCATTAGTTGCTTTACATACATGCTAATTCTTATCCTAACTTTATAAATCAGCCATTTTATTTTCCCTTGTGTCTATTAGGGTTCCATCGGCTACAATTAACAGAAAAGAATTAAACTCACAATGGTATAATAAAAAAGGAAACAATTTTACATAACAATGTGCCCCAAAATAAGAGCAGAAATGACTATTGAGCCCACAAATTGCAGGAACCACTACACTCTTTCTTGGAGTAGGTGTATTGGGGTGTATGCATCTGGTGGCGGGGGAATGCTGACCACCCTTGAGATTTAACCTGTCTAAACGTCAAAAAAATGCCAAATATTTGACTTACATTGTCTTATCAAGACTGGCATTATATAGATTAAATAAAGAAGAAATTGAACTTCAGCTATGTCAAATGAGTTATTCAAGGTTATACAAATCATAATTGGTAAACTGGGCATTCAAATCCAAGCTTTTCTAATTTAAATAAAATCTGTAGTTTCTTCAGTGACCACATTGCTTTTTTCATGTAAATGTCTGGGAATACCTGGAGTTGATCCATTCAGCTGCTTTAATTAAAATATAGGGTAGGTGTTCATGTGTTCATTTTATGTGGAGATTTATTTATTTATTTGGACAATATTTATAAGTGCAATCTAATTGGAAAGATTGAATTGTTATTATCCTGCCTGATTCTTGCAACTTCTTAGCATGTCCATGATCAAGAAAGAACCTTGAAGATATTAAAGTTCTCTTCAACTGTGGGCCCATGTTTTACTGGTTCTGTAATATAGACTGTATTTTCCATATTTATTTGGACCCGCTAAAATTTGCATCACAGCTCATTTTTTTTTTTTTTCCTAGAGTTGTAGGGGAGCAACTCAGAGCAACCCACAGAGCTAGCATTTCTTTCCAACTTTGCTTTCAGGAATATCACAGTAGTAGCTTGAAATCACCAGTGGTAGGAGTATTTACACCATAGATATTGACAAACACTGCAAATAAGAGCTCTCTCCTTCTTCCCTTGCCCACTTCTTACCTTCTGCCCTGAAAGAGCTAATTGTTAAACTTTTTTGAGTTCATCATTGCTCTTAATTCTTTTACCAGGAAGCTTGCTGACATATTTAGGTGATTTGTGGAGAGTCTGCATCCAGGCAAAATGTTTTATCCTCCTGTTCCCTAGAGATAAGCTCTGACTTCTGAAAATGATTTAGTTTCTATGAGCCTGTAAATTTAAGATTCAAATATTTTTTCTTTATTATAGGATTTATTAATATTCTCATGTTCTTTATTTTCCATGAAGAGACATTGTGATAAAGCCGGCTTTCTTCATTTCTCACGTAGGAGCTTATCTTTCTACATGGGATATTCGGCAGTTTTCAAGTTCTACTCAAGAATGTTTTGTTGAAATGGCCCTCTCTTTCAAAAAGTACCACTACATTTTATAACATATTTATCAATAAATTGCTTCAATTTGCCTTGAACAACCTTTCAGTAAAGGCCAGTTTTTAAGGGAAAATTTTACTTCTGCCGTATCAACAGTTTTAAGTGTTAAACATGCACAGTTCTTATAAAGGTTCTTATAGCAATATATCTATATATAATTCATAGCATTTTATAATAATTCCAAATTTAGAGCCACAGTTATAGATGCTAATGTCCCCAATTCAAATTATATTCAATAAAAGCCTTGGCATTAAAAACGATATGTTTTAGAATGTTACATCATAACAAATTTTAATCTAAAAATGTTGTAGGTGTCCAAAATGAGGAAAATAAAATGAAAGTTATTTTATAGAAAGTCTTCCTAAATGGGTAAAATAAACATGAGATTTTGTGTAGATAAGTGCAAGGTGATGCATTTAGGGAAAAGTGATTCTACTTATAAGGCAGTTGGCTCCAAGAGAGCTCCTGTACTGGGAAAGCGCTGGAAGCACCATTTTTTTTTAAGAATTTCATGTACTTCTATTGATTCAAGTGTTCTTCATATCACTAGCCATATTTAATAAAGATATAAAAATTAAACTAAATATTTCTTAAATTTTATAAATTAATAAAACATTATTTTCTATCTACCATGTTATGTAAGCTTTGTTAATGTGTCTCAAGAAAAAAATATGGAGAAATTTCAGTGGACAGATGATTTGTTCTAGAAAATGTGAGGGCAAGGATGTGAGTGAGAACAATGAAAAGAAATTGTATATTTTATTTCAGAAAGCTGAGGCCTGGTAGAAAGAATAACTGATGGATAAAATCTCAATGTTGAAACGATATAATGAACACAATCTATTCACTGAGTTGAAATAGGATAGAATGGGGAGGAACTTCTTGAAATCATATTAAACAGTAAATACAAAACTTCTAAAACCTTTTCTTGAAGAAGGGATAAAGTTTCAAAATGGGCTCAAAATCATTCTAACATTGTTCAGCCTTTCTTAAATGTTTTGCCTATTTTAAATGTTCAAACTCTTTACTTTCTCTTAAATTATTAAGGAAGGGTGTTTAGGGATGTTTTAAAAAACCATGGATGTGAGTGGTTCACAAATGTTCGTGTGTTCAGAGTCATAACAATGTTTGCTCAAAATGGAGACTTTTAAGCCCTACGACAGATCTACTGAATTAGAATTTTTGCAGATTGGAGCCCAGGAATCTAAATTTTAACAAATACCAGAGATGATATAGCTAAGCCATGGACCACTTAGAGAATTACCGCTTTTTGTTGATGTCAAGAAAAAACATCCTAGGATAGTTTTACAAAACATGACTGCCTCCTACTAACATATGTTCTAGTGCCTCTGTCAGCTCCACTTAGAGTGATCTGCCACTGACTCATTGAACAAGTCTTATGTTGTTACGCCTTTTGTATTTTCTCAAGTTGTTCCCTCTTGCTGAAATTCCCTTCTCTCCATATTTACTTATTGAGGTCATATTCATTTCTCAAGACCCATTTTATGTCTCATCTCTTCTGGGAAATCTTCCTCAGTACTCAGTCAAAATCTGTCTCTCAACCCTGTGTTTCCATAAGACTTTGCACGTACAGCATTTATCACAGTATACCTTGTACTTATACGGAGTTATTTTACCTACTGTGTAAGTGCTAATCTATCAGCTAGAGCAAGAGGTTGGCAAATTATGGTCTGCAGGCAAAACCTGGCCCACTGCCTGTTTTGTAAATAGTGTCTTATGGGAACACAGCCACGTCTATTTGATGACACATTGTTTAAGGCTGCCTTTGCGCTGTAACAGCAGAGTTGAGTAGTGATGACAGGGACAAATGGTCCTCAAAGCCTAAAATATTTACCATCTGGTTCTTTAGAGTTTGCTAGCCTCTGAACTAAAATGTGTGGTGTATTGTGTCCTAATTATGTACTAGCACTTAATAGAATGTTTTGTAGAGAGTTGGTACTCTTATAAGTTATATAAAGTAATTGGTGAAAGGATGAAGAATGAGTTGGAAATATATGTTTATTATGCCAACAGGGTAAATATAAACTCTTTTTCTATTCCTGCCTTAGTTGGTTTTTAAGTCCGTGTCCCTGATGTTATTAGTGCTTCAATAGAACCTTCTGTGATGATCTGTATCTATACTGTATTCTGTATCTATGCTGTCCAGTGCAATAGCCACTAGGCCTATATGGCTATGGAACATTTTAGGTATGACTAGTGTGACCGAATAATTGAATGTTAACTTTATTGAATTTTAATTAATATAAAGTTAGTTAAAATTTTGTAGTTAGTGACCACCATATTGGACAATGTAGATAGGGGCACAAATAATTACACCTCAAAACGAACAGCATACAATGAGAGTGAGAGCGTAAGATAAATTAATTTAAGTCATATTATAAATTCTATAAGAGAACTCTGATGCCTCTGTTTAATTAACAGTTACACATTGGAAAGATACTCTTTGTGATCCCTAGTTGTGTTTTGGCTAAGCGCTCAATGTTTAGATGTGAAGAAATTAGAAACCAGTTCCAAAAATTAGAAAAGCTCTTACAGATACAATTTCTCTTCTCCTATTTTCTTTTTTTTTCTTTTGAATCTATAGGAATCACAAAAACCTTTTTTTTAGTGGTCTTTCAACATTTCATTGATGATTTGGCATCAATTCAAAGAGCAAATGATACCAAGATAAAGTGAAAAAAAGGAAATTAGAAACACCCATTGCTTCACATAGAAATTCTATGTGTGAGTATGTATATGCTGAGGTTGGGCATGGGGGAGTGATAAGGGTCAGAAAGAAGAGAGAGAGACTGATTGACAGCTTTGGGTGCATTATCACTGGTAGTGATGAAAAGGAGGGCTTTCATGTTTCAACAACTCATTTAGGTAATTACCATTGTTCCACTTGCGTTTACTGAAATTTCATTAAACTTCTTTGTGCATATGAACATATTTGATATGAATCCTACAGCCGTGGAAAGTGCAAAATCAAGGAATCAACTATGAATTGATATGTTTAAGCCTATGGACCTGCTTTGGGGAAGAGAGTAGAGACCTAGCTTGCATATGATGAAATGGAGTAGTTTTTCTGGAAGTTGATTTTTCTGGTTCTTCAACTGCTAAACTAGAATGTATCCATAGTAGAAAGAGGTGGCTTCTTTAGCATCAACTGCTAAGACAGCCCTAAATTCATATGCCTGGTATAAATCCATGGCACACCTCCCTGATCTGCAAGAACACCCCTCAGGCTATGCATTTCTTTTTCATAATTGTATTTTTTTCTTATGACTAACCTTGGGCTTTTTAATTTTACCTGATTCGAGTTCAATAAAAATGTTGAAGAGGCAAGTACTCAGTGAAATTTGTATCAGAAACTCTAACCTCTGGAAGGGAAGTATGACTTATCAAAGATACAAGTGAGATTAATTGATTATGTTAATGCAGTCTCTTTATTCAAGGTGAGAAATGAGTGTTAGAATACTGAATCTATTACCATTTATAAAACCAAGTGCATTCTTTGCATAGAATAAAGTACAATATCTCAAATCAAGAAAAAATGAAAAAAGAAAAGAAATGACCATATGTGTTTTATTTTAGTCCTGCACTCTCTTCTTCCCACGGTTACCATAAGAATCCCACTGAATTTATGGGAAACACTCGCCTGACTTCTCCATGCTGCTGTAGACAGTGACACACACAGGGTGGAAGGAAGTTGTTTCTGCTGTTACCTTTCAGAGTCTGCAGAGCAATAAAATACCAGGTTAGATGATTATAATGATTGTTGTCTTCTTGTCACAGATAATCATTTTAATACAATGTTTAAGCTTTCTGAAAGTTTTTTGTTCTTCAAAATGGGCGAGATATACACCTAAATGGATGTGGAGAAATAGGAACACATTTACACTGTTGGTGGGACTGTAAACTAGTTCAACCATTGTGGAAGACAGTGTGGCGATTCCTCAGGGATCTAGAACTAGAAATACCATTTGACCCAGCCATTCCATTACTGGGTATATACCGAAAGGAATATAAATCATGCTGCTGTAAAGATACACGCACACATATGTTTATTGTGGCACCACTCACAATAGCAAAGACTTGGAACCAACCCAAATGTCCAACAATGATAGACTGGATTAAGAAAATGTGGCACATATACACCATGGAATACTATGCAGCCATAAAAAAGGATGAGTTCACGTCCTTTGTAGGGACATGGATGAAGCTGGAAACCATTATTCTCAGCAAACTATCACAAGGACAAAAAACCAAACACTGCGTGTTCTCACTCATAGGTGGGAATTGAACAAAGAGAACACTTGGACACAGGAAGGGGAACATCACACACTGGGGCCTGTTGTGGGGTGGGGGCAGGGGGGAGGGATAGTATTAGGAGATATACCTAATGTAAATGACGAGTTAATGGGTGCAGCACACCAACGTGGCACATGTATATATATGTAACAAACCTGCACGTTGTGCACATGTACCCTAGAACTTAAAGTATAATAAATATATATATATATATATATATATATATAAATTATCATCTCAACTTCAATAAGCTATAGATGTATGTATTTATAATAAAGCGCTCTGGTCTCCCCTAAATTATCTTAGCAGAGGAAAGGAAAGGAAAGCTCTACTTTAAATGGGTATATATGCCCAACAAGGTGGCAATCCCTAGTATTCAGTAAATTCTTCTTTCCCAATATAAAGATTTTTAAATAAGAGAAGGGAGAACAAGACAATAAAAATAAATGTTTAGAAATGTGGATTAAGCATCTTTTTAATGTATGATATTTAATTTATTAATGCAACTACACAATAAGTTTTCATTAATCATTTTTTCATTTGCATTTTATGAAACAATTTTCTTCATTCTTCTTATATATATATTCTACAGTTGTGTCTACATTATTCATGTTTTTTTAGTTATCTAACACAGATTTACAATATAATCATTTCCTACTAAATCATTAAAAATTTAGCACTTTTGAAATCTATGTATGATTTTATTCCAAGCCACCCATATGAATTTCCACAAAGTAAATATTTTTAAAAATTGATCTTGTGGTGTTTGGTTTTCTGTTCCTATGTTAGTTTGCTGAGAATGATGGTACACCACATGTTCTCACTCATAAGTGGGAATTGAACAATGAGAACACATGGACACAGGGAGGGGAACATCACACACTGGGGCCTGTTGCGGGGCGGGGGTTGTGTAGGGGAGAGATAGCATTAGGAGAAATACCTAATGTAGATGATGGGTTGATGGGTGCAGCAAACTACCATGGCACGTGTACGTCTATGTGACAAACCTGCACTTTCTGCACATGTATCCCAGGACTTTAAAGTATAATAATAATTTAAAAATTGATCTTGAGGTATATATTTGTGGCTGCCACAAAACTTCACTGACGCTTAAAAGATGAAGTTATATACCACCTTGGATATTGAGTCAATTTGTGTTAAATTTATTTCTTTTTCTTTTTTTTTTTTAACTGAATCTATCAGGTTACTTCTTTTTCCAAAACCATCATTTCTTCAGTACCTTTCAATTAGATATGTGTTCCTAAAAAGCACTTTATTTTTTTTAAATAATGTGATTACAGACTGTCCCGTAACATGAGACATGTGTGAAGACCCAAATAGAAATCAACTCTTTTTTTCCTAAAGGATATTTTAGACAGTGACTTCATTTTGTCTATATTTAATTATTATATAGGGTAATGTTCATTTTAAAATCAGATGAAGAGAACAAGCAAACAAACAAACAAACAAAAAAGGCAAAAAAATGAGAGGTTCCAAGGAGAAAAATACATTCAGCAAAAAGCCCACAAAGTCATGGTACACTCTGGAGGGACACTGTAGGGTTTTTTTACAGGCATTCTTTTGGTGAACTTGCCTGTTGGACATGGCTATATTCATATCACAATGTTTAAAGATAGTAAACATTCTGTCATATAGTGACTTCAGTTTGTTCTGATTTTCTGCCAAGCTAAGCAAACCTCTGATAATTTAGCTTTTCATGTAATTTATTTATGAAAACATAATATGAAGATGTGACTTGTAAAAGATAATGTGCCACATGGAGTCAGTTCTTAGATCAGCTGGACCCTACATTTTCCTCTATGCTTTTCTCTTTTATCTATTTTTCTCAGGTCAGGTGGTTCTTCTTTAACTGGTATCTTCTATCTTCAGCTGTTAATGGATTCAGTGAAATCACAGCCAAGGTTAGCCAATGTGGGAGACAATTGACCTCTTTAAGATAACTTTTTATGACTTCTGTCTTACCTGGTAAGCGACAGTTCGATAGGTTAGCTCACAGAGGGCAATCTTATTTCCCACTTGCACTAAGAGTCTATAATCCCTGAAGATGAGTGGTTATAAATTTTTTCTGCCTCACATAAAAAATTGTGTTAATTACATATAGAGAAGGAAGTCAAATGCTGTTGGTTCTGTAGGTTTTCCCAGGGGTGAGGATAATTTATCATCTATCAGCACTATGGATTGGATATACCTTGGGGCTAAGACATATTTGTAGAATTGCTGAGATAGAATACGACGTATAGTTTCAAATATTAGTATTTACTATTTTTTTCTAAAGACATTCTTTCAATACCTATTGCCTCACATTGTACTATGTGGAGACTATATAAAGAAGTATAAATCAAGTTGGTCGCCACTACAAACGGTGGTTCTCAACTGGAGATTATTTTGCCCCCAGCGGACATTTGTCAATGCTTGATAACATATTTGAGTGTCAGTATCTAAGAGGTTTGTACTGACATCTGTTATCATCTAGTGAGATTTAAGGATGTTGCTAATTATTTTACAATGCACAGGACAACCTTCCACATCAAAGAAATATACAGCTCAACAGTGTTACAGTTGAAAAACATTTACCTAGATGTTAAGACAAATGTAAATAAATTTTAGCATGACCGCAGGGTCTCTAATAAAAGTATACATGAAATATTAAAAAAAAAAACAACCTCAGTGGAAAGATTGTTTTTATACCATTGATTTTTAAATTTTATATGGTGCTTGTTATGTACTGGTCCAGAAATGTTGAAGTCCTGATAAATACTTTCCAGGGTCATGTAGAGGTCACGTTATCACATTAGAAGTCCTTTTAGCCATATTGCACAGATGCCAAATTCCTAACAAGAAACAGACTTTAACTGTAACATGGAGAATATGAAACTAAATAAGAGATTCTATGGACTGTTACTGACTTTTGGGAATGGCCAACATATAGGTCAATTGCAGGTCAGTTTCTATATTTCAATAGTTTATTGTCCTAGGAAGAAAGTTCTAATTTAATAAATTATTGCTTATGGTGAAAACAAACATTTCTGCTTCTTGGAGACTAGCAGCATCTTTTATAATTTAAGAAAAGCCCACAAAATTTGTATTAGAAGTAAAAAGAAAAATAAAATTTTAATCTGAATTCCTATGTAAAAAATAAAAGAGTTCACTACTGACTATGTTTCTTTGATTTTTAGAGATGTGATTCTGACAGTCTAAGCACAAAAACCCATATTTTTTTTTTTTTTGGTAAAAACTCACTTTTCCTGAAGATTCCTTATAAAGAGACCTTCCCATTCTTTTCTACTGATTTAACTTTTATCATTGGAAAAAGAAAATCCAAGAACCATTTACTTAATTCATCAAGCAAATGCTTAAAGCGGTGTGTTGGGGCACTGGGAATATAAATGAGAGCAAGACATGGTCTGTGCATTTGACAGAAATATTGTTACAAAGTTTATAACAAAGGCATGTTTGCAACTAGCGTACACACCAGAATTTCTAGAACTGTCTTAATGTTTATAATCTGGTCTGTTTTTTTCCGCAAATATATGTATATTTATTAGACCTGTGGGAATGCTACTGGGAGTCATAGAATTGCACCACCAACCACATTTGGGGGTATGAGAAGGCTTCACAGATTAGAAAAGCATTGGTATAGTCTAGGCGGAAGAGATGGGACATTCAAAGTCATTTTGTAGCGTGAGCATGCATCACATGTTTCTTAAAGAATAAACCTGTGCTCATCCCCTGGTTTGTTGGAGGAACAATGGGAGCCAGATGTGGGGCTTCAGTCTAGAATTTGAAGGATGTTAGAGGATATATTGAGAATTTTAGGATTTATCCCACATATAATATAGATCCCTAAATGTTTAAGGCAGTGAGAATCACATGATTAGATTTTTGTTGTAGAAAGAGAATCCAGGCAATAACCCTGAAAATTGGTTTGATAGAAGAAAACTAGAATGATAGAAGCTAATTAGGAGGCTAGTGCAGTAGTCCACATGCCAAAGATATGAAATAAGCCAGAAGATGATATTACCCAGAATGAGATGTATTCATACAACATTTCCACCACAAATCAAAAGGTATTGATGACCAGTTTGATGTCAGAGGTGAGGAAAACAAGAACTTGAGAATGATGCCATGGTTTTAGCCTGAGTAACATGGAGGTTGCTGAGTACACTGAAGAACTGTTTTGGGAGCAGGTGGTATTTAGTTGCCTGTACAATATTTAGGGAGCATAAAAAACTGATCTTATCTCAGGAGAGAGGTTAGAGTGAAAATCAAGATTTGAGCATTATTAGCAACTGCAAGTGGTGGTTGTGATTCTGAGGGTGGATGAGTCAACACTAGCACAGATCACAGAGTGAACAAGGGGGACCATTGACAGATGTTTAAAGGAGGGCCTAGGAAAAGGAGCCAAGAGCCTGAAATTAAATTTAATTAATTAAGGAAATACAGAGAGCTCCCAAGGGATTGTTGTCTTGGTAGTCAAGATTAAAATAGAGGAAGGGTGGAGGTGAACAACAGTGTCCAATTTTGCAGAACATAAAGGCTATTAAAGAGGTCTATGGATTTGGCAATGAGGAAGCTAATAATATTATTGGCTATAAAATTCCCCATATAATTTCTAGATAGACACCAGTTCATGCAGTTAAGTAAGTGTTGGAGGGTTACTGTTTACTTTAAATTTAGTTCTAGTGAAGATTATCTATCAAATATTGTATGCTGGAAAATTTTCTTCCATTATCTTTTTTCTGATCACATGACATTTTTTCATCTAAAAGTATATAAACCTGTGTAAAAACTCACTTATACCAGGGATATAAAAAGCAACTTTAGAGATTATCTTCTCTGCCTTCTCAATTCAGAGAGGAAGAAATTAAAATTAGAAAAGTTGTGCCTTTCTCAAGATGTGCACACAGTCAGTTGCAAAACCAAATTTGGGATTGATCTCCTGATTCCTGGTCTGATATGTTATCCATTACTCCATGAACAGAAAGATAGAGGTCATTTCTATGCAGAGAAAAACAAATGAGCTGTGTCATTGCAGAAATGTTCTGCATGGTTTGCTGCCATCTGTCTTAAAGCTCAATCTGGACTCCTAGGAATTGGGACTGCTGAGCTGCATTTAGATGGACCATGTGGACAGGGCACAGAAAATCCTTTATTTGGAGGGCTTGGTTATTTCCCTATATGGAAAATAAAGGATACAAAATATTTATGACAAGATTAAGAGCCTAGAGCTATAGAATTTTTGAGATCTGACATCCTGTTTTGTAAGATTCTGGCCCTACATGTCTTTTTGTTAGACTTGCTGTATTTTATGTTTGTTAAAACACAGTTGGAGAACAACAGTAAACATTGCTTTTGGAAGAAGAAAATTATAAAGCAGACAGGGCACTGGAATGGAAGTCACTATATTCTAACCCCAACTGTGATATATTATGTGCTTTTGGATGCTGCACACTCTGGGGGCTGCAGTTTCCTCATTGGATAAAATCAATGTTGGAAACTAAGATCTCTTGAAGCTCCCTGAAGATTTGCTCAGTCAACTTCACATGGCTTTTTGAAATTTAATACCTTTAATCAGAAATGCTCTCCCAGGTTACCTTAAGTCCTCTTGTCCAATATCCGTGTGGTAGCCCCTGTAAGCATTTGGGTTTGTGATCCCTGATATCCAGTTCCTTTTCAGCTTTGTCATTCAATGATGCTACAACAGAAGGATTCAGTGTTAGTAGCTTTGTGGAGCAAAGTTTTCAAAGTATTGATTTATTCTGTTGAAATTGTGAAAACAAAGGCCTTAAAGCTGTATCTGTGCAACAAAAATCTAATATAAACTCAGAATTCTTCTCTAGGCATATTGTTTGTTGTGGTAATGATATAGTTGAAAACTTTTGGAAAAATAATTTAAGACTAGAAATTAGGAATTCTTCAGGTTAAAGAAACATATGTCATTGAATGTAATTAAGGTTATATGAAGATTATCAGAAAAATTGCACCAAAATGTGATCAATAATAGCTTTTTCTTGGTTGATTGTTTCTAAGCATCCTTTCCAAATTATGTCAATACTGTTCTGCAAAGTTTGGAGAAAAACTAAAAGATGTATACCAAGAAATCCATGCTGGTACATTGTAATTTAACCTCCTATTTTTCCTGAAAAGTCACTCTTTAGACTAAAAAAAAGTTCATCATTGTGAGGCATCACTACAGTTTTATAATTTTTTTCACTGAGTCTTTCTCAATTTAATATTAAAGGGCTTTTAAGATTTATCCTCCATGTGAAATTTGGGGCTTTATATTCTATAGGCCTTTCTTGAAAATCCAAATTTCATATGAAAAACTAGAAAACTGATGTTGGGAATTATTTGTGTGAATTCAGTGAAGTGTACCAGTTGACAGCAAGTCATTCTGGGTGATATAATCGTTCTCATCCTCAATCAGCTGACATAAAACAATTCTTTGGAGTCCAATTGAACTCCTTCACCAGAGATGACTGTTGAACTTTTAATAGTTTCTGAAAATAAAATAATCAAGCATTTATTTCTCAGGAGCTTAATATAAATTTCTTCTGTTTTATTTTATCTAGGCATTTTTATTGAATTGTACTTGATTTGATTTTCTGACTCTTCTATGAGAATGGCTTTTTACTTGTAAGTTTCACTCAAATTGACATTTTGATAGTATAACACATTAATGAAATTCCTAGAACAGAGGCTATGTTCTTTGAAAAAAAATATTGACAGAGTACACTAAAGGGACATTTTAAAGTGCATTTGATTTCTTTTGCAGCTTGATAACATATTTGGTGATGTTTGGTAGCTCCCAAAGCTATACTTTCCAGTAACATGTCCAGATGAGATTTGACAATGTTGCAATACATCTTTCCATATCTAGATTTATGTATGCAAATTAAGTTCTTGGCAGTCTATGAAAACCACAAAACTCTTATCTCCCAGCCTAACAAAAAAAAAAGAAAAAGCACTTTTTGAAATAGCGAAGGAATCTCTTCCACAGCTACTGGAGTTTCCAGACCACACAGAGACTAATTTCCTTTAAAAACTATTTTTAAAAACACTCGTGCACACATATAAACATTTTTCTGGCACTGTTTTCTAGGCTTTCTTCTAAATTACACACACACAAACACACACACGTAATATGTAGGCATGTGTGCGTATAGATATATATACAGATGTAGATATAGATATCTTTATTTCATTCATCCTGATAACATCCTTATGATGTAGGGACTATCATTAGCCCTTTTTTGCAGATGAAGAAATCAATAAACACAAAGGTTAAGTAATTGCCTAAAGTCAAACAATCAGCAAGGAAAGGCAGAACCAGAGTTCAACAAAACATCATGGCTCCAGGATCCCGGAACCTTGCCAATAAACTGTATTATGTGGCCTTGATTTTAATAGGGAAAATATGATGTCAGAATGTATTGCCCATTCAGACTGTATATTTATCAGAAGTTCTTACTTAAGCCAAAATTCTTCAATGTGATTTTTTTTTTATTTAGAAGCATACATATACCTTTCCTTTTTCCACTTGTTAAAATCTAAGATAAGCCACTCTAACATAGGCAAAGAAATTAGAGGACATAAGATAGAATAATACAAACATTAAATTGGTAAGCAAATTGATAACATTTTTGTATTCTTATCAGGTTAATAAAAAGCATAATTAAAACGGAGATATAAGTCATCTCACAGGAGTTCTCATCCCTCTGCCCTGTTGCCCTTCTCTGGGCTGTGTGCTTAGATGGTAGAGCTACTGTGAAAGCTTTCCTTGGTAGCTTTCCTGATGTTACCAATGCTAAATCTAGAAGTCGATACCAGAAATACCCCTGGATAAGTAGTTAGGAAAATATGAGTTCTTTTTGGAAAGTGCAATCCTGGACATAAAATTCTTTCTAAATGTACCTTGACTATAGTACAGAAATGATATGCCATCTGATCCATCATCAAGATAAACAGAAAGAGTGCTACATCTCTTGCTGGAGAGCTTGATGAATACTGTGGCTGTAAAGTCAGAGCATGACGAGTCAGAATGATCAGTATGGATCAGATCCGGAGAGATTTCTCTTGCCCCATAGATCCATAGCCTGAATTTTACATGGTATATTGGTGCTCTAAGGCAGGCAATTAAGGGCGCTAAGCCACTTTTGGGTCCTATAAGAATCCCCAAGAATCTCTTTCCCAGGCTATTTACAGATTCAGGGCCAAAATTTCGATTATTGCTGGGTGGTTGTTGCAATTACTGTTGCTATTATGGTGACACTTTTCAGAACACTTATATCAGTGCTGTGCTGAGGGAAGCATAGTCAGATAATGGCTTTCTCTATGCTTTATTGATTCCCCATTTACAAAGACACATTTTTTTCCTATATTCTTACACTGTAGATCCTACTTCTGGACACCAAAAATCTCTTCGGCCAAGTTATAAACTGGCAAAGTACTCTTATGAGCTCTGGAGATACAAAGATGAATAAGAAACTAGCTTTGCCTTTGAGAAGCTTATAATCTGGTGGAAAAGGATGCTTGAAAAAAATAGTGTTTTGGAAATAAGGCTGTATTTTATTCAATCTGCTTACTTGCTGGTCTCCATAATTAAATAGAAAAATGTTGGAAAATAGGATAAAGGTCTTACTCATTTTTATATTTCCAGTACACATAGAAATCTGTTCAAAACTTAATCAGATGAATACTTAAATTCTTATATTTAGTTAAATGTACAGTAAATTAATATTTAAATTTTAGTGGATTTATATCCATAAACAATTATGTGACCTCATATAAGTACTTTCAGTTTTCTAGAACCATCATAAGAGGTTGATGAACCATCGTAAGAGGGAAAACAAAATAAATCCAATAAGGGGAATAACACTTTATGTATGTATAATATTTATTAATATTCTCAGTGCTATACAGAATCTAAAAACCATGAAACCTCATTCCTTCAGAAATTTGCATTTTAAGATGGAATTATGACACAAATCCAGGAAACATCTAATAAAGTTGATGACTCAGGCACTGTGGAGCCAGAAGAAAGAATGAGAAAATATGGGCACATAAATATTGAAATGATACACACGGATAAATTCATATGCAATTGACTCTTAACTATTAAAGAGTTGTGAATTATAGAGTATTTTTTCATTTTCCCCATGTTACTTCTTGCTTTTTGGTCGTTGCTAGGCTCATTCTTCTTGCAGTTACAGCAGAATAAAAGGAAACCAAAGACGGTAAAACTCAAGAGTCAATTCCATAATTTTCAACAACTCAGTTATAAAGAGATGTAGTCAGGGAAAACACTAAAACTAATGGTTTAAATGAGACTTTTAAATTATATGTAGCTTTCATTCATGCATGAGTATCCCAGTTTTCAATTAGCCAAAACTCTGTAGTTAGCTTTTATTTCAGACGTTAATCTACAGATTGAGAAAGTGCGCTGCTCTCTAGCACTGATGCCTGCTTGGATATCAAACACTGGCTTTCAGGGTTACATTCAGAAATGGAGGAAAAGAACTTAATTATTCAGAAAGTGAAAGAAAGCTTATTTGGGGAGAAAACAAAAAGAAATAAGGACTGCAGCCAAGCAACAAGCAAGTCTAATGTGTTTGAGTAGGTTTGAGAAAATATAGGAAAGAAATGCAAAAGATATATAAGTTCTTTCTTTCAACTATATTATAGGTTAAAGAAATTGAAGAATAATAATGATAATAGGACATATATAACTTACTATTTGGTAAATAATTCTATATCTAATTATTTTACCATGAAGAATGTTTACCTATAGATATCTTAATCCTCGTGTTACGGATTTAATACAGGTCAATTATATATTGTAAACATTTTTTTTCCAAAAAGTATTGATTTAAATTATTTATGTTCAATTCATTTACAAAAAAAATACATTGTAAGTTAATAAAGTAACAGAAACGAATACATAACAAGCTGAATTTCCAAATGTCAAAATGAGTACATAAAAAGTTACAAAAAAGCCCGTAGTTTCAAAATATAATTTTAGAATATGATCCAGAATGCTGATGGTTTTATTTAAAAGTTTGACATTTAGAATATAAATGTTTTCAAATATGATATACTTCAAATAAATATGTTTTTTTCACTTTTTAATAATATGATGTATCATTAATGGTCAAGCTCCTGTTTTATACTTCTGCTTTTTGCATTAGTCACAAACATAGTTTAAAACAGACAATGACATATGCCTAAACCAAAATATTTTTACTCATAATAAAATAATAAATCATATAATCTTAGTCACTGTTTTAGTGTAAGATTATATTTCACTCCAAGGATAAGAAAGAAATGATATATTTAGATATTAGTGATTTATAGACATGTGAATCATATTGTTACTGTACAAAAATGTATAATTGTTTTGTAAAGTAATGGGCTTGAATAAATTAAGAAATCTAAACATTTAAATATATACATTGATATACATTTATGCACATATATACATATGTCTTAAGGTTTGAGGTTGTTTTTTCTATTATTTTTTAAAAGGGTAAAGAAATGTGCAGTAGTACCTGCATGAGTATATTTAACTTATCTACTCATGAACATAATGCATGAATTAATTTTATTATTACATCTTATAATAATGAAATAACTCCTTATTAAATAATTGGTCATTTTAAACAATTTACTAGTCTTTAAAATTTTGTTCAGTGTAACTACTTAAAAATATTTTAAATATTGAACTATATTTTTAACTTTTAAGTTAAGGGGTACAAGTGCAAGTTTATTACATAGATAAACTGTGGCATGGGAGTTTGTTAGAGATTATTTCATTGCCCAAGTATTAAGCCTCATACCCATTAGCTATTTTTCTTGATCCTCTCCCTTCTCCCACCCTCCAAATACCACATGTTCTCACTTACCTATATGGAAGTTAAATGGTGAGAACACATAGAAACATAGAGGGGAACAACACACACTGAACTATTTATAAAGGAAAATTGTTTTGGTTATAAAAGCTATACAATTTGAAATTCAGAAATAAAGAAGATACAAACCCATTCCCTCATATCATTTGGCCATTGTTAAAATTATGGTATGGTATTGAAGATATGGTGAGAAACAGGAAGCCTGAGAAATGGTATGAAGAATTGGAAAACGGAAGTTTGGGATGACTTTGCAGAGCATTCAGCTGAGGTGGAACAATAGTCAGTTTAAAGTGCCTGAGATCGTTCTGCAAGGTGAAGGAGACCGTGAGACTCCACCCTCACTGTGTAGCAGAATCTTTGTGAAACCTGCAGACTCCTATCATGATATTGGGATTTCCATATTCTGTGGTGAGTCTTACGCAGGTATATTATCTAAAGGCACTCGGGTACTTTTAATGTATAGTCAGGATTAAGAACAATTATTCATAGTTCTCAAACTTTGAGCAGCATCAAATTTTCCTAGAGGGCTTGTTAAAGGTCCCTGGACCCCACTCCAGAGTTTCTGATCCAGTAAGATTGGAGCTGGACCAAGATTTTTTATTTCTAATGTCATCCAGCTCATGATGATGCTGTTGACTTGGGAACCAAACTCTGAGAACCACTATTTACCACCATCTTTATAATAATTTTGATTTTACAGTATGGAGATTTCTCAGAGAACTAAAAATAGAACTACTGTTCCACCTGGCAATTCCACTACTGTGTATCTACCTAAAGGAAAGGAAGTCAGTTTCCCAAAAAGACATCTGTATTTGTATATTTATTACAGCCTAAGTGCATATCAGTGGTGGATTGGATAAAGAAAATTATATCTATATATATATAAAATATATATATATAGGAATATGTATATATTCCATATATATTCCTATATATATAGGAATACTATGCAGTCATAAAAAAGAATGACATCGTGTCCTTTGCAACGTAGATGCAGCCTGAGGCCATTATCCTAAGTAAAATAATTCAGAAAAGTAAATAAAACACTGCATGTTCTCACTTATACAGTGTGAGCTAAACAATGGATATAAATAAAGATGGAAATAATAGACAGTGGGGACTTCAAAAAGGGGGAAGAAGGGAGGAAAGCATTGAAAACCTACCTTTTGAGTACTATATTCATTCCTGGGGAAATGCGTTCACTAGAAGCCCAAACCTCAACATTAGACAATATAACCATGTAACAAATCTGCACATGTACCTTACAGAGAGTAGAATGATGGATACCAGAGCTGGGAAGGCTAGTGGGGTTTGGAGGGCAGTGAGGATGGTTAGTGGGTACAAAAATAGAAAGAGTGAATAAGACCTACTAGTTGATAGCACAATAGGGTGACTATAGTCAATAAAAACATAATTTTATATTTTACAATAACTTAAAGAACGTAAGAATGTACATGTAAAATGTAATGTACGTGTAAGAATGTACATGACAAGAATGTAATGTTGGATTTTTTTGTAACTCAAAGGTTAAATGCTTGAGGGGATGAATACCCCATTCGCCACGATGTGCATTATTTCACATTGCATGCCTGTATCAAAACATCTCATAGACCCCAGAAATGTATATACCTGCTACGTATGCCTAAAAAAGTTTAAAAATAATAAAATATATTGAAAGAACAAAGAATGTTAATTTTAAGGTACAAGAGAATGTTGTTCAGCAACTATGGTATTTTTTTTCAAATCCTTTATGGAAAAATTTGGTATCATAAATATGTAAACATACATTTGAAGACAAAACAAAACTTATAGAAATATTTTCATACTATAAATAAAACTGTAGGGTTTTGTTTCCTTCATGAGACATGAGAAAGAAGGAACAATGAATTATGCCATATGTTAGAGGAATGTAGAATACAGGTGGAAAGGAGCAAGGACATCTCCCTTGCCTCTCCCAGGTAGGGTGAATTTGAACATTTTATTTTTTTAACATTCCTTTTCCACTTTTCCTTTCTGAGCACTGCAAACGTAAAGATTATCTTCTGTCAGCTTCTTCCTATTCATAACTAGGGATTTTTCCTTTTATCATAATGATGTGGTTCAATCTTGGGCATGCATATAATGGGAAAACACAGGAAACAAACATTGAATTTGAGGTCATGAATCTCAGAAAGAGCCGTCTGTATATTTAAATTTTACCCAGGGTGATGTAAATGTAGAAGAAAAACATATTGTGTAAAAACATTGAGAAGTATTGTGAACACTGGGAGGATGGTAATGAAAATGAGGAGAGGAGAATCTAAACCAATTACAAGGGCACTCCAGAAGGAAGCTACTAGGCAAAGTAGTTAGTGTGTCTCTTAGAAACAACAAAGAAAAATGAAGATAATTCTGAACTATCCTTTTAATGAAACATTTGGAAGAATGATAAACTCTTGAAAGAGTTTAAAGGAATGTGGTGTCATTCAGATGTGACAATTAAACTGATTTAATGAAAAGTAGGAGATCAGTTTGTGAGGTCATCTGAAAGGACCTCCTACTGAAAGAGTTTAACTTGGGTTTCTACTAGGGATTTCAGCACTTGAAGGAATAAAGTGAAGTGATAAAAACATAGAGATGACACAGGGTCAAATAATACTATGAAAATATGGAATACTAGTGCAAAGATTGAAGAAAATTTCTAATATTATAATAGCTTATGTCACTGACCATAATTTAAAAGCTATGTATTATTGTATTCTACATATATAAATATGTATTTTTATTTTTTTACTTGTAATGAGAAACCAAAGCTTTTAAATTAGGAGTCAATGACATAAGCATGATCAAAAATATTGTCGAATGAATGAATAATTAAGTTAAATTCCAGAATGAAGGTTACTTAAAATATAAAATACAAATAATTTAATCTAAGACATACGTGAAAAAATATGTTTGCCTATTTTCTGAAAGTTTCATCAGTGCTTGGAATAGCTAACATATTTTTAATTTTCTACAATAGAGAATAAAGTGATGATACAATTGAGAGGAATTAAATTGAATTAGAATTATATACTGTGTAAATATATATGATAGATAAGAATATAGGAAATCATTTACAAATTAGAAATAGAAAAGATATCTATTAATTTATTATGCAAGTATTTGGAAAGTACCAGAAAGATGATGTTGATTTAAGAATATAGTTGTGCTCATATATTGATAAATTTAAATTTGTCAAATTAAACTGATTAAAATTTTTGGAACTTTTTAGCATTCTAAGTTTTGAGGTTATAATGAAATTATGAGGAAAATGCTTTTAAACTGAATAACCCAGGGATTGTCTTTTTACCATGCTTGTGTGAGATCATTATTCCATGGACGCTTATGGCATTAGACTGAATTGATTTTATAGAGAAAAAGAACTCAAGATTGCATAAGCCCATATTAGCAGCAAATTCCTAATATCTAAGTTTCTTTCTGTCTTAAAATAGATGAATTTTTCCATTTCGATGAAAGGTTTTGGATGAAAAGATTTTGCAGTCTTTATAGAGCAGCAATCACTGAGTGCTACAAAATATTTTATTACATTTTTTTGCCTTGAATTTTGCATTATGGGTAAAGAACTGTGTGACTTAAAATAGCTTACCAATCTTTCAGGAAGTTAGAAAATATTTCATTGTTGTTGATTTAGAGACTGAGTCTTGTTCTGTTGCCCAGTTTGGAATGCAGTGGTATGATCATGGCTCACTGTAGCCTCAAGTTCCTGGGCTCAGGAGATCCCTCCTGCTTCAGCCTCTCCTGTAGCTGGGACTATAGGCACTTGCCAACATGACTGGCTAATTAAAAAAAAAAAAAAATTTATAGAGATAGGGTCTCTCTTTGTTGCCCAGGCTAATCTCAAACTCCTGGGCTCAAGCTATCCACCCGGCTCAGCCTCTCCAGTGCTAGAACTAGAGGCGTGATCCGCCATGCCCAGCCAGAAAATAATTCTTTAAAAATTTTACAACATAATTAACATTGAATATCTCTATTGTAATAAAATATAATAAACTGTATTAAGTGGCACTCTACTTATCTGCAATTGCTGATGTCAGTTGACAGCAAGGTTTGTTTTCCCACAGTGTGAGTGTCTCTACTAATTAGACTTAATTAAATGCAGATATATTACTGTTCTGTGTAAGATTTCAATGAGGACTTTGAGAAAAAGATCTCTGGATGGATAACAGAGAGAGACTGAAGCTGGAAAGCCTTGAAAAGTCCCCAAAACAAGACTAAGAAGCTTTTAGAGGACTTGTGCACTTAGAGATGACCAAAAGAGAATGAAGATTAAATTTTGCAAAAATAAAATGCTAAATATTGAATAAATAATTTTAGTTGCTTAGTTAATATAGTATCTTACAATTTTTCTATGTTCCTAAGGGAAGCAGGAACATATTTAAAATTATTATTTTTACATTTTTTAATACAGAAAAGTTTATCCCAGTACCTAGAAGCTGGGTCACTAATAATGACAACTATTAGTCACTACTAATAGTTGCTTTATTTTCTGTCAGTTTTTCTCTCTTTTTTAACAACTTGAATTAGTCATGTTTAGTATTTTAATATGTTACACCTTTTGATAAGGATATTTTCCCTCAATAAGTTGTAATAAACATTTTCCCATATAGTAGCAAATATTACTTACGGCTATGTTTTAATCTGTGAGAAAAGTATAATTTGCTTAAATTTTATTTGTGGTCATTTTTAGTAATGTTCCAGTATTATAAAAATGTTAAGAATAAATGTTTTCATGCTTAAATTTGTATATGCATCTTAGATTATTATTGCTCATCAGTGGAGTTACTGTATTAAGAGTTATGAATCAAGTATAAGAATTGTATCAAATAATTGTCCCTCTGCCAGGAGCCAGCTCTCCACATCCTTCATAGCACTGAGTATTTTGTGGTTTGTTATTTAGTAGGGAAAAAAGACATTCTTTTTTTGCATTTATTTAATTACTAGTGATGTTGCACATTTTTTCACATGTTTAAGGGATGTGTATAATTTTTCAATGGTATTTTTGTCATTACTTGATGTAAACCTCCATTTTGAATATAAGAACATTGTTTCTCAATAATAAGTGTTTTGATTCCTTTGAGCTGGAATCAGAATTGAAGTTCAGGTCTTCAGACTCCAAAATTGCAAGTTCTTGCCACTTGTTCCCCCATACAATAAGAATATTATTATCAAGCACTAAATAGACAACAAGAAGTGGAGTGACTGTAGAGACCCAAGATTGGAAAGTGGGTTCAGGAGAACTGTGGGCCCTGGAATAAGACAGTCCAAACATAAATTGTCCATGTTCCTTTATGAGCTTGTAATCTCGTCGTTCTCAATGATTACAAATCAGCTCAGCTTCCTATAAATGACTCTTCCAAAGGAAAGCCAAAAAAAAGGTTAGACTGAAAGTCTTCAACAATAAATATTTACTGAATTCTTCCTACCGGGCAGGTACTACTTCAGGGCCTAAGAGCACAACAAAGTAGCCAAGAAATACCTGCTTTATGAGAGTTCAGGGTTTAGTGGGTGAGGCCAAAAATAAATATGTTAATCAATTAAATCTATGCGTATAATCACAGTTGGTGAAGTGTTATGAAGAAAAATAAAGGAGAAAGGGAAAGGTGTTGCTAGGGAGAATGGACAAGTTTGACTAAAGTGATCAAGAAAGACCTTACTAAGAAGAAATTGAGAGCAAAGATCTGAAAGGGAATAAGGATGAGCCATGCTAATGTTTTGGGATAAGGGTTCTCATCAGAAGAAATGGCAAATGCAAATACATAAAACAAAAGCATTGCTGGGAATTTGGAGGAAATGCAGGAAAGCCATTGTGGCAAACTCAGGAAGCCATTGAGGCTTGTGCAAACTGATAGCAGATGAGATCTCAGTGGTGAGGAGAGAGAGAGCACTTGTATTACCTTGCAGGCCAGTATGAGGACTTTGGCTGTCTCTCTGAGCAAAATGGGGACTGACTGGAGGATTTTCTGTCAAAGAGTGACATTATCTGACATACATTTTAAATGGCCCATAGACTGAGAACAGCTGGGGGACAAAGCTAGAAGCAGGGAGATGAATTAGGGGGGAAATAAGTTGGGAGGCTATTTCTATAACCTAGGGGTGAAAATGACAGTGGACTGAACAAAGGTGATAATTTTGGCTAGAGGGAGAAGGTCGTGAAGATAATGAGAAATTATTTGAGTCTGGCTATGTTTTGAGGGAAGAACCAACAAGATTTCCTAAAGTATAAAATATGAAAATAAGAGTTATCAACAAAACTGACGTTAAGGTTTTTGGCATGAGCAATTTTAAGAATGGAGTTATTTTCTGAGATGAGGAAAAAACAAATTTTGCAGGAAGATTACTAGTTTGATTTGGGTCAAAGTAAGTCTGTGATGTATATTTCACATTCAAATAAAAAGTTTCAGAGGGATGTCCAAATAAAGATTAAAATATGGGAGCTGTCAGTGGATATTTACAGTTACAAAATTGTATAATCTTACCAAGAAAGTGATTGTAAATAGAGAAGGGGTCTGAGGATTATGATCTGGGTCACTCCAACAGATTGGGGACATGAAGAGGATACAGGAAAGGAGACTAACATGAACTGGTCAGTAAGGTAAAACACTAAGAATGTGATACCTTATATGTCAAGTAAAAGGAACAGGTGCAAGCAAATGTTTCAAATTCTGCTATTGGTCAACTAAAATGAGGACCAATCATTGACTACTGACTTAGAAACGTAGCGATCATTGATGATGACCTTACCAACAATACTTTACCTCTGGTGCAATTTTAAAAGGTAGAAGGCTGAATGACCTGAATGGATTGGATTTAAGGGTAAATACGAAGAAAGGGATCGGAAGCAATGAGTAAGGAAAGATCTTTGTAGGAATTTTGTTGGAAAAAAGAACTGGCAAATTAATTGTATATTGGCAAGGTATGTGTGGTCAAGTGAGGGTTTTGTTTAGTTTTAGTTGGGAGAAAGTTTTTCATGTTTTTATATGCTTACTAGAATTTCTGCAGAAATTGAAAAATGATTACATAGGAAACAAAGAGAATAAGAGCTTGTCTTTAGGTAGGTAAGAGGGGATGGGGCCTGATGCACAATTGGAGGGATTTTCTTCAGATAGCAGAATGAAGGGAGATGAGAGAAGTCAGAGTGCACAGGTCTAGATGCAGGTAGGTGATAGACATGATGGTGAGAGCCTTTGGCAACTCTGTTCTATTTGTTTACATTTTTTGAGAATAAACAGCTGAGAGTGAGGATAGCAGGTGTTTAAGATATGGAAAGAGAGGAGAAGTGAAATAGTTGACCAGAAAAGAGAGTTAATCTGATTTATTTTCTAAAAAGAAAATTACTGTGGTACTAAATGAAATCTACAGAATGTTTACATATTCAAATTGTAGGTTAATTATGAACACACATCAAGCCATCACATAGTTAGCTGTAGAGTTTAAGCCATCAATAGTCATTTAGTTTCATTATCTCACTTGTTTGGTTTTAATTAACTTTCTATGTTTTTGTTTAACTTTGTGTACTATTAGTATCGAAAGGTTGTAGCTTGTTAATAGAGATGCTTATTTAGCATTTTCAAGTGAAAAACAACATTAATAACAGGTACAACATTATTATTAATAATAATAATGCCAATTATTCAGAAGTGGCAGGTCTATACAAAACTCTCTGACACTCTATTTTATCAGTTATTTTATACTTGATTAGGCTTATATAACATTTTCTACTTCTGCAATTTTCTGATAATTAATAAAGAATTTCCTTTACACAAATCTCAGGCTTTATTTTAGGGAATGGAAGTCTGTGCTACTAAAAATTGCATAGTGTTGTGTGTCTGGGCAGGCTTTTCAAAGACCTCTGTTATCACTTATATCCAAAGTGATAAGTCTGGGCGTGGTGGCATAGGCCATAACTCCAGAACTTTGGGAGGCTAAGGCAGCAAGATCGCTTGAGCCCAGGAGTTGGAGACCAGCCTGGGCAATATAGTGAGACCTGGTCTCTATAAAGAAAAGAAAATGTGATAAATAGGAAACAAATATCAATAAGAAGCAAGTAAATATTCTTATGGGTAATTAGAGCATCTTTAAGAAAAAAACATCAATTTGTATCAATAACCTTGGATGAGAATATGGTAGAAGGGTAGATTTTGGACTAGATACAACTGTTTATTAAAAAAATTCCAATTTGGCTACTAAGAATGAAGCATATATTTCATAGGAATCATGTCCTTGTATGGGCCACAATGTCAGTGTTAATTTTTACATGTTATTATAATATATGCATGCAATGGTTTTAAAATTGTCCCTTAACAATATTATGTGTTAGTAAAACATAATATTTATTTATCCATTATGTTGTGCAAAACTACCTTTGGTGTATCTATAGAAGGATGTCAGAAATACTTTATAGGATTTAAATTGGGGCAAAACCGTTTGTTTCATTTCTTCTATTCCCTTAACAAAGATAAAGTGAGTTTGTTTGAACTGGAACATAGTTAAGTGTTGATAGGCCATGTCAGTCTTCTGTATGAACTCCTCACCCCCACCAACTTCCTGTTTCTCTGAAGTGCATGCATACAGTGATATATGTTTTGGTTTTCTAAGAAGGGAAAGGAAGCAGAAGAATACAGAATGAGCTTGTGAGTTTTGAAACTTTGGGACAAACATGGAAGTTGGTGAAAAACCATTTGTCAGTTTGCTTGACAGGAAAAAAAAATGAAACAAATGCATGCATGGACACAAAATGGTGTATCTAGTGTCTGCATAGGGCTTCCTATGTGCTAGGCACTATTACAAGTGTTTACATTTGTTAACACATTTAATTCTCATGAAACTACCACAACAAAAACTATTTTTATCCACATCTTACAGATTATGAAACTAAGGCACCCGGAGATAAAGTAACCTCCTAAAGGTCAAAGGTCACATAGCTATCAAATGTGAGAGCTGGTATTTGAATACAAGCAGTCTGGCTTTTTTTAAATTTTTTTTAATATTTTATTTTTGAGACAGGGCCTGGCTCTGTTGCCCAGGCTGGAGTGCAGTGCTGTGATCATGCCATCATGGCTCAACTGCAACCTCCACCTCGCCAGCTCAAGCCATCCTCCAACCTGAGCCTCCCGAGTAGCTGGGACTACAGACATGTGCCACTATGCCCAGATAAACTTTTGTAGTTTTTGCAGAGGCAGGGTTTCACTGTATTGCCCACGCTGGTCTTAAACTCCTGAGCTCAAGTGATCCTCCCACCTCACCCTCGCAAAGTTCTGAGACTACAGGCTTGAGCACTGTGCCTGCCCTGGCCTTCTTAACCACTGTTTGTTACCTTTTCTATCATAAGTATAGAAGAGTAATCTAATATCAAACTGGCTGATTAAGGTGACAGGTTGAATTATTGTCATCAGTTTTTTACAACCTAAACATTTTTGCTTCTGATGAAATGTTCTTTAAAAATTCTTTTCAGCATTCCTTTTTGCATTCTTCTTCTTATAACGTTTTAGCTAAATATGCAAATTCATTATCATTCACGAGTTCACATGTTGTTTAAGTAGGAAGGACCACATGGGAAAATTCATAAAAACTTTGAACACAAGTTTCTGTGTTAAAAATGCAAAGAACTGAATGTTCATATATCTTTTGTTTGAAGAATTTAGCTTAAAATATGAAGAAAACTACATGGAAACACTTTCCCTGAAATAAGTTAAAATTGTGATGTCATTCACTGACTATTATTGCTTTGCCACTGACTTCTGAAGAAATCCTAGGAGATAAATTGCTTGTGGTGTTTTCTCCCCAGTCTTATCACAAGTCATTGCTAATGAGTGGCTTCTTCATGATGTAAACTAGTTTCAAATTCAGCATATATTGTAATTCTTCCAGTTCTCATTAAGCACACTGTTTATATATTATGTCTCAACATAAATATATGAATGGAAATTTAATCCTTTCTATGACAGGTCATACACATTTTAAAGGAACTCTTATAGTTTTTTTTTTCTTTCTCTGGGTCTTGACTCTGACAGAGGGGAAAAAGAAAAATAAAAGCACTATCTATATTAATCATTCTCAGGAATAAGGCTGATTCTTTGAAAAGTGAGTTGTTATAGTTGAAAGGACAGGTTTAAAATTTGGATTAGAAATTGAAACCTGACTCCTCTGCTTCCCACATCTGCACCACCCAAAGAAGTCACTTACTCTCAATAAACAGAGAATAATAAATGCCTACCACATAGATTTTCTGTGAAGGTTAAGTTAGAATAAAGGAGAGGTGAATATTTCACCACAGTATTTGGCACTAAGCAGGGAATCACTAAATGTTAAATCATCCTAAAATATTAATTGAAGTCTTAAGAAATAATGTGATAATAAAGTAGCCACGTAAACTTCTAGATATTGTTTTTCCTCAAAAAGGAAAATAAACTAAATGGTGTGAACATTAAAACATCTATTAATATTTTATATAGTGGGATACATGTAATTTTAATATATTTTTTATAATTTTCTATTTTTTCCTAAATTTTATGTAATAAAGATGTATTTCTTGTATCTTTTTAAGCAACTATTTTTTCACCCCTGTTTGGAGTTCTATAGTACTTGTGTTTATTCTTACAGCTCAGTTTACCAGATATGACTAGGCATGCGTATACGTTTTCTGATATATCTAGGCTGGATTTCGTGAGCTCTTTCAGTCTATAGAATCACATTTCTTTAGCTCAGAAATTTGCTTCAATTAAATATTTAATTATAGATTCTTTCTCTGTTCCTTCTTTTATTGTTATTCCTATTACTTGGGTATGAGGTCACCTGAATATATCTGCCAAGTCTCATCTTTTCTCTCATGTTTTCCTTCTCTTCTGGATCATTCAGGCTACTGATTAAGATCTCAGCAATGACTGTGCTCACCTTCAATATATCTTCTGATTTCCTAAGTTGAGACATCTGAATCTTCTACTTGTTTTTTTTTTTGTGTGTGTGTGTATATCCAGAAATTCTTGTTAGTGGTAGATTTGAAAATGTTTAAGTGCTCCATTTTTTTTTTCTGTTCGGGAAGTTTCCTGACTTTCCAAATAGTTTGATAACCCATGTTTTCTTAGACATGTGTTCTATTTTTTGAGGCTGAACTTTCCTTCACTATTAATTGTGTGAGTGTATATATGCATGTTTGTATCTTCTTAAGTCAGCTCTGGTAAAGTTGTTGGGTTACACTAGACATAGACATTCTGAAAAGAGATAAGGAAATTCACTAAAAAGGAAATAGAAATTCCCCAAAATATGAGAAATAAAACTGACACTCAGAACTTGCCAGAAAAATGCAAATTAAAATGAAACTTAATTTTACACCAACAAGTAAATTTCTGTTGAGAAATTAAGAGAACTAAATAACAGAATTGTAGCAGTTTTGCAGAAACTGTTAATTCTGTTATATTGTTAATTTTGTAATTTATGTTAATTAAATAACAGAAATTAAGAATCATAGCGCTAATGTGTAGGGAACAGAGGACTGCTTAGAAACTGCTGGTGGAAGTGAGAATGGTTAGAGCCCTCCTCCTTTTTTTGTGAAACAATCTGGAGTCTATTAAAATTTAAAACACAATATATGTATATATGTATATATATTTTATTTGTAGAGTATCATACACTCATGGAAAAATGACAGGTTGTTTTCATGGGTAAAAGGTTTGTACATGAGTGAAATTTGACAAGTAGTGTTGGAAAGAGATGGGGAAGAATAGAGCTAAGAATGAAGGAAAAGAAGAAAACACACATTTTATTTTATCTTGAAGGCTTCTATTTTACTAATTGCATTTATAATACAAAAACAGAACTTTTTTTAATGAATAAATATATCAAATAAAAAACAGAGAGGATGTGAAGAAATAGGAATGCTTTACACTGTTGATGGGAGTGTAAATTAGTTCAACCATTGTGGAAGACAGTGTGGCAATTCCTCAAGGATCTAGAACTAGAAATCCCATTTGACCCAGCAATCCCATTACTGGATATATAACCAAAGGATTATAAATCATTCTACTATGAAGACACATGTATACATATGTTTATTGCAGCACTATTTACAATAGCAAAGACTTGGAACCAGACCAAAAGCCCATCATTGATAGACTGGGTAAAGAAAATGTGGCACACATACACCGTGGAATACTATGCAGCCATAAAAAATGATGAGTTCATGTCCTTTGCAGAGACATGGATGAAGCTGGAAACCATCATTCTCAGCAAACTATCACAAAAACAGAAAACCAAACACCACATGTTCTCACTCATAAGTGGGAGTTGAACAATGAGAACACATGGACACAGGAAGGTGAACATCACACACCAGGGCCTGTTGGGGGATATGGGGTTAGGGAAGGGATAACATTAGGAGAAATGCCTAATGTAGGTTGTGGGTTGATGAGTGCAGCAAACCACCATGGCACGTGTATACCTATGTAACAAAACTACACGTTCTGCACATGTACCCCAGAACTTGAAGTATAATTTTAAAAAATAGGAATAAACAAAGAGAAATATAAAAAGAACCCAATCTGAAAATCTAAGTAAAGCAATTTTGTAACAAAGCAGGAATAGGCCTCAAATACAATAAAAAAGATGGAAAGTGCCCCAGGTCTCCTATTACCTATAGCCTGTGGGTGAGTGGTTACACTATCTAAAAATCACTATGCTCCAGCAATCCCACTTTTGGATACACTACCAGAATAATTGAAAGCAGAGTTCTGAGGAGATATTTGCACATCCATGTTCACAGCAGCACTATTCACTGTAGCCAAGAGGTAGAAGCAACCTAAATGCCCATTGACCATTGACAGAAGAATAAACAAATTGTGGTGTATACATACAATGGAATATTTTTCAGCCTTAAAAATGAAGTAAATTCTGTCATAAGCAACAACATGGATGAAGCCTGAGGACATTATGCTAAGTGAAATAAGCCAGTCACAAAAATATATTGTATGATTCCACTTATATGAGGTATCCAAAGTAGTCAAATTTATAGCAACAGAAACAATGGTGGTTACCAGGGAATGGGGAAATAGGGAAGAGAGGAGTTGTTTAATGAGTATAGAGTTTCAGATTTGCAAGATGAAAAAGTTATGAACATCTGTTTCCCAACAATGTGAATGTAACATTTAAAAATAATTAGTAAAGTTTGTTATGTGTTTTTTACCTGAATTAAAAAATATTCTCAGTAGATATTCTGTTCTCCCTTCTGATCTTCATGAATTATATATATATGTCATATATGTAATCTTATTTATTTTGAAATAAATGTATTTTCTTATTTATATTGTATATTAATATGTATATTTGTATATTTAGAAATGAATTTAGAATGTACATATATGTGTATATATCCCCCCACACACATATTTAGTTATGGCTTTCCCTTTGATGTGAGCTTATCATTTATTTTGTTCTGTAGCTGACCTTTTCCACTTCACAATATAACACAGCTTTCCTTCCATGTCTCCTTATTGCGATTTGTAATAATGATACTGTTGATGATGATAACTTTACAATTATTGAAACCATAGTATTTGCCAGACACTGTTTCCTATTATTTTATTGATGGGCATATTTATTGCAAAATTGCTACAGTAAACAACTGTAAAAATTTTCTCATGGATGTATTTCTATGAGTAGAATTCTGCATCACAGATATGAACATTTACATTTTTTCCCATTTTTAAATGTTAGTGCTGCCAAATTAGCCTCCATAGAGCTTGAAAATATCCTTTCTGGTATACTCTTGCCAACGTTGCCTAATATAAATTTAAATAATTTATCTAAAAATTTTAAAATGTTTACTAATGTAATTTTTAATATATCACATTACTATTTTAATTTTTCTTTCTTCAATTCCTAGTGAGGTGAGAAGCTTTTCTTATGTTCATAGGTGATTTGTATGTTTTCTGACTACCTCTTGTTTGTATCCTTAATTTACTTATCCCTTTTTAAGTTATTATTTTCTTCTTATTGATTCACAAGAGCCCTTTCTATAACTATGTTTAGGAAGTATCTCACTATAAAAATGTTTATAATTTTTATATAATCAAATAAACTGGAATTTGTTTGAAATACATGATACTACATCATAATTAGAATCCTGTTTCTCATATCTTAATAGAATTCATCCCATTGTGACTTGTGACATGGCTGTTCTCTCAATGACCCTTTGTTTTTCTCTTTGCTCTTTCTCTTTTAATTTGTTCTCCTTTTTCACTCTCCATTTCTAATAGGGCCTTTTCTTATTTATCCTTGAGCTTTCCCTCTTCCCCTTGTCCCTGGTCTGTAGTTTTTCTCGGTCTCTCCAAAAACATTCACTTGATTTCTTTAGTAATTTTTTGGAGTCTCTAATCCTTTTAAACTAACATTTTTTTATTTTATTTAATATTGTTTGGAGATAATTTGATTTCTACATCCTCTAAATATTTCATTTCATGTTCTTAGTCCCATAGTCCATTTGCTTTCCCTTGTGGTTTTTTGTATTTGCTTAGTTATTGGGTTATTGTGTCTTTTGGACAGAATACATCCATCATAAAAGCAGCAGGCTCACAGTCATCTTACAGCTTCCATAAGTCACTACCTTGTTAAGGCAGCCTGCAGTAGTGAAGGCTTACACAGAATTAAGGTGAGGATGATAAGAGTCAGTGAGCCCCTTGGAAACTAGGAAATAAAATTACCTTCATTGAATTAAATTATATAATCACATGTAATGCATGAAATTATATATTCATTACAGGAAAAATATGCCTTAGATATAAAAATATTTCCCCTGAATAAAAAACAGTTTGGCTAAGACCATTTTCTTTCAGGCTATTAGCCTATCTGAATTAAGACTCAAGCTATATGGACAAAAGAATAGGCTTGTGTGTAAGCGGCCCTATGTGTTGCTTCTCAGAGAGCAATGAATCATCCATTAATGCATTGTCAGCAGCAAAGGTAGTGAAATCACTCAATACCAAACAGTTATATAGCATTCATATTTGTGGCAGAGTTTGTGCTAATGGATCAATTGATAAAGAACTTTTTATTACAGTCTGCAATCAGATAGCATGCTTAATTATTTTTTCCATCCATTTGAACCTATAGAATACATTCTCAAGTCCTGAAGCAATCTCCTAGACTTGACTCAGAATCTGAACATACTATTTCCATATACTTAGCATAATTCATCTAAGTACTTTAAGTGGAATCATTTCAGCCAATTGCATTTGCAAATTTGGCACTAAACATAGAGTAAGGAAGAAGATTGATATGAAAGTGTGAAATGGAAGAATCTTTGAATAGTTTATAGGAGATTATGACATCTAGAAAAAGTCAGAATTACCTAGTTGAGAGTTTTCTTGGGAACAAAATGCCCACAGCCCTTAAGTTATCATTTGGCAAAAATTCTCATTAGCAGTTGTATTAGTCGGTTTTCATGCTGCTGATAGAGACATACCCGTGACTTGGAAGAAAAAGAGGTTTAATTGGACTTACAGTTCCATATGGCTTGGGGGGGCCTCAGAATCATGGCGGGAGGTGAAAGGCACTTCTTACATGGTGGCAGCAAGAGAAAATGAGGAAGAAGCAAAAGTGGAAACCCAGATAAACACATCAGATCTCATGAGACTTATTCACTATCACGAGAATAGCATGGAAAAGACTGGCCTCCATGATTCAGTTGCCTCCCATTGGGTCCCTCCCACACACATGAGAATTCTGGGAGATACAATTCAAGTTGAGATTTGGGTGGGGACACAGCCAAGCAGTATCATTCCACCCCTAGCCCCTCTAAATCTCATGTCCTCACTTTTCAAAATCAATTATGCCTTCCCAACAGTCCCATAAAGTCTTAACTCATTTCAGCATTAACCCAAAAGTCCACAGTCCAAAGTCTCATCTGAGACAAGGCAAGTCCCTTCTGCCTATGAGCCTGTAAAATCAAAAGGAAGCTAGTTACTTCCTAGATATAATGGCGGTACAGGTATTTGTCAAATATAGCCATTCCAAATGGGAGAAATTGGTCAAAACAAAGGGGTTACAGAGTTCATGCAAGTCTGAAATCCAGCAGGGCAGTCAAATTTTAAAGCTCCAAAACAATCTCCATTGAGTCCAGGTCTCACATCCAGGTCACACTGGTGCAAGAGGTGGGTTCCCATGGTCTTGGGCAGCTCTGACCCTGTGGCTTTGCGTGGTACAGCCTCCCTCTTGGCTCCTTTCATGGGCTGGCATTGAGTGTCTGTGGCTTTTCCAGGTGCATGGTGCAAGGAGTCAGTGGATCTACCATTCTGGACCCTGGAGGATGGTGGCCCTCTTCTCACAGCTTCACTAGGCAGTGCCCCAGTAGGGCCTCTGTGTGGGGGCTCTCACCCCACATTTCCCTTCCACAATGCCCTAGCAGAGGTTCTCCATGAGGACCCCGCCCCTGCAACAAACTTTTCCCTGGGCATCCAGGCGTTTCCACACATCTTCTGAAATCTAGGTGGAGGTTCCCAAACTTCAATTCTTAACATCTGTGCATCCACAGGCCCAATGCCACATGTAAGCCACCAAGGCTTAGGGCCTCCACCCTCTGAAGCCACAGCCCAAGCTGTACATTGGCCCCTTTCAGCCATGGCTGGAGAGGCTGGGACACAGGGCAACATGTCCCCAGGCTACACACAGCACAGGGACCCTGGGCCCAGCTCATGAAACCACTTTTTCCTCCTGGGCCTCTTGGTCTATGATGGGAGGGGCTGCCATGAAGGTCTCTGACATGGCCTGGAGACATTTTCCCTGTGGTCCTGGGAATTAACATTAGGCTCTTTGCTACTTATGCAAATTTCTGCAGCCAGCTTGAATTTATCCCAGAAAATGGGTTTTTCTTTTCTGTCGCATAGTCAGGCTGTAAATTTTCCAAACTTTTATGCTCTGCTTCCCTTAGCTCTCCTTGCTCCTCAGCTTGCAGGCAGCCTATTGTGGGACCTTGTGATCATATAAGTTAATACTTAATAAACTCCCCTTTATATATATATATATGTGTGTGTGTGTGTGTGTGTGTGTGTGTGTGTGTGTGTATAATTAATTCTGTCCCTCTAAGAGAACCCTAATATATCAGTATTTGTATTTTATTGACAGTATTGCATGTAAATTTGTCCCATATTCTAATGTTGAATAAAAATGGTTTCAAATAACTGTATCATGATTAAGTTTTATGTGTGTGCATCTGTCCAATTACTCTGGCTGTCAAGAAAATAGTTATTAAATTTCATAAATCACCATAGTTTAATCACTATGATTGCCTATTCTAACATTTTCTCAGCAATAATCATAATACTGTTGCAGGATACACTTAAAAAAAGAACACCATTGCATTCTAAAGCAAGGATTGTGACTACTGAAGAGGAAGTCAAAATAGTCTGTATCTGGCATGTTAGGCAGAATTCTTATACGTCAATAAGTATATTGATGGTCATATTGATGACACTACAATAATGTAGGATCTTGAATTGTAATCTGAATCTATAAAATATTACATTGTTTATAACAAATGAGTTAACAATTTAATGTGGTCTTATTCATGGATAATAGGTAACCCACGTGTAACCTCTCTATGTTAATCAGAATATTTAGTTAGTGAACATCCATTTTGTGACCGTCCTTGATAATTGAAAAAAATACATTAGAATATCAACAGCTATATTATGAAACTGGGTGTATTGCAATTCAGCAATTAACATTGCTGCCATAAATATCAGTATCCACATATTTTGTAGTAGGAATAAAAAGTATTGCTCAAGAAAAGTAGTAAGTTTTAGAACATGATATATTTAAGTTAGTATTAAATCACAAGCTTTTCATTAAACACTTAGTTTTCTTGGGATCACTGAATTTTTATAAAAGCTTCATATGTTCTAAAATAACTGGGAATGTTTCAGCATACAATTACAATCTATGTGACTCGGGGATAGGGTGAATTTTCAGAAAAGGGCTAATCAAAATAGGACATATGTATTACTGACTGCAACAAGAATGATTTTGTATTGCTGGGGGTTTAGACTCCATGAAAAAAATGAACCTATTAATTTGAATAGGTTAGCTCTTTTTGCATGTTATCAAATGTAGTTCATCTATATATTTGCACTGAAGCAAAATATTAAGAAGTAATGGCTGATTAAATTTTAATTTTATTTTTGCCTACAACTTTGTTAGTAAATATTTTTTCTTTTTCTGCCATTTGCTAACTGTTTATTCTGCAAAGACTTCTATCCATGTCTGCTTTATTTTTAATGAGCTCTTTCGCTGTGTGTTTTGAAACCTACCATTGGCCAGTGAGGGTGAGGTGGGGACAGTGAGGGTGCTGGCTGAGGATGGGTGGTATGGGTTAGTGAAAGATGGGCATAATGTCATCCAGAAAAGTTTTAAAGCACATAACCAAATATTACAGACTTCAGTTATTAGCCTTTAATTCCTAAACAACCATTGTCTAAGTTACAACATGCCCAACTTCAGGAAGCTAGTCCTCTTTTAGGTTTATTTGTTCCTATGTATATCTGGGAGTCCCAAGGAGATCTTACCTTTTTTGCCCATCTGTCCTAAGCTTAGCCTATTGTTCCACTCTTCTGGGCTTCGTCTTCTATCCCTTGAGTGCAGGTTTCCTCTTCCAGGACACTTCTCCTCCACTTGTACTGCTGCTTCTGCAAATGTGGATGCAGGTTACCTGGTATCTCTCTGAGAATAGCTAAGTCCAGGCTCTACTACCTAACAGTACTTACTGAAAATGTCAGGCACAGACAAGAATGATTAAACTCATTTCTAGATATAACTGCTCTCATGCTTCATAACACAAAACTCCTCACTGGGTTCCTCACTGAGTTCTTATAGTTTAGACTTCTACCGTGTTTCATGGGCCAATTTATCCCTCTCGGTAAGAATATTCTTAACCAGGTCACTCGCAAACAGAATTTATGCCCACCTACCCTTTTCCCCCAACCCACTGTCCTTAATATGCTGAGTCCACACAGAGGAAAACAAGTTTCCATCTTATCTCCTTCTTTCCCAGTCACAGTTCAGTCTTCAAGTTAAATAAAATGAAATGAAATAAAACATCAGAGATGAAAGTTCATGGAGGAAGAGAGAACTCTATTTAAAAATTATTATTATGCAAATGGTTGTCTCTTAGCTATTATAATACATTTACATAATCAAAATCTTATTAAAATTTTCCCCATACCAAGGGAGCATTTTGCCCTCAAATAATTCAAAGGCAACCTGTAGAGAAATAAGAAAAGCTGATGTATTTTTAAAAATCCGTATACTATCCTCACACCCTCATCTATTTGTAGCCATCATAATTGTCAAAATTGGAATCCATTCAGTGCTAAAAAAATCCTGTTTCATGTCTATTGAGAACACAAACGCAAGGGGGCATACTGTAATTATTTTAATTAATAAGCATATGTGGTTATTTATTGAGCATAAAATTTGGGTGTGATACAACTATAAGCCCTCCATCTGTGTAATGTAATGTGCCCTGAGGATGTGATATAGTGATATTAATAACTGGGAACTCATTTTTATTTCCTTTAATTTTGTATCAATTCATTTCAGTTATCATTAGCTTACTATTCATCCCACATCAACTTATGTATGATACTGTGGGGGAAAAAAGGCATTTATAAGAAAAGCTTTTTAGCTTTTTGGAAACCTATGATTTAATTGGTAAAATTTAGGCATAAAAATTTGAGGTGATTTGTAAGCAATATATAAACAAATGCAAGAAAATGCACTTTAGGTATTACAAGAAATCAAAATTGAAATATGGAACTTAGTTACTTGGTTAAGATAGTATAGGAATTGATTTGGCCCAATAATGGTGATGGATTTCAGTTGTGGCAGAATATTCTTTTTTTTTTTTTTTTTTGAGACAGAATTTTGCTCTTGTCACCCACATTGGAGTGCAATGGTGCAATCTCAGCTCACTGCAACCTCCACCTCCCGGGTTCCAGCGATTCTTCTGCCTCGGCCTCCTGAGTATCTGAGATTACAGGCGTGCACCACCATGCCTGGCCAATTTTATATTTTTAGTAGAGATGTTTCACCATGTTGCCCAGACTGGTCTCGATCTCCTGAACTCAGGTGATCCACCTGCCTCGGCCTCCCAAAGTGCTGGGATTACAGGCGCGAGCCACTGTACCTGGCTAGTTGTGGTAGGATATTCTTGAAATATGAAGGCATACATTAGCAAGACTAAGAAGTACATAGACTGAATCAAGACAAATGTTTGAAATGAGAAGGTGGGTCCAGTTGATGTACACTCTTGAGTGTCAAGCTGAGCTGTTGGGGTTAAGTTCAAGAGGCAATGTTGTAAATTCTTGCTCCAGAGAGTGTTGGCATGTACATTACATATTTGGTTAAATGTTTGATTGATAGAAAGTTTTTTATGGGTAAATGTTGGTATACACTTGTGAGATATTTCAGTGATGGGAAAAATTGTAAGCAAACTAACTTCAAAAATTCAAGCAGACCTTGGGTCATAGAAGAATAGGGTCAGCTTTGAAAATCATTAAGAGATGGCTGAGGGAAAGTGAAGGAGTTTGTTCTGTTTTAACTTAACAAGCATTTGAGGTAGGGTACATGAAGCAGAGGTACCTGTGGAAGATGTTAATGACATGAGCCTGAATATAGGACACCACATCATCAGCATTTCCATCAAAAACAAGAAGAGCTGCTATGGAAAAGGTACCACCCTAGGCGATAGGGATAGTGTGGTATAATACACTATCCATGATTTTCAGGGAGAACAGAATTCATACACAAGAATATCAATGAATCTGTAATACTTAACTTGCCAAGTAAGTGTCAAATTTGGGCATCTATTCTCCATAGGAGATTGATTAGAAAGTCCTTCAGACAAAATTGGACTTCAGATGAGCCTTTAAGGAAAGTGGAAAAAGGGAAAAGAGGAAATTATCTAAGTCTCTTGGGTGTCTGCAAATAGCTAACGCCACAAGAATTAAGCCGCGAAGTAGTAGGTCATCAGATTGACAAGGGAGGCAAAGCAATTTGGAATTAGTCTCTCTGGCAAAGGATGCCTATGGAATATTTCTGAACATAAGGCTGATGTGAAAACAGTTATTTTGGGGAGTCATGGTCAAGTTCGCACTATGTAACAGGAAGGTAGAAACTAGGGGCGGTCAGGGGAGTTACTGCATCATTATAATATTCTAGGTGTGTTCTTTAATAGAGAGGGGCAAGTAACGGGAATATGAAGAACGTGACAGACTGAAAGGTGTCAGAAAAATAATGTCAGTAACTGACTGGAAGTGAGAGAGGCAAAAGTAAAGAAAAATTATTTTTTCCTAACCTGTTTGTTTTTGTGACATTGACAAAAATAAAGCAGCCTGGTGCTGGTTGGGGACGCTGGGTGTATTCGCAGGACACCATGACCAATTTGGTTTGAGGTCCTGGAAGAATACCCAGTTGAAATTTTTTTTCTAGACTATTGATATGCAATTTTTGAAGGCACAAAGTCATTTTAAAATGGACTTTTAGAAATTAAATCATTTGAAATAGTAGGACATGGGGATCTGGAAAGGCTGTACTATCCGTCTGAGGTAACACCTAGAAATATGAAGTGAATATAAATCCAGAGGGTGAGTTCTGTAAAAGAGCGGGTCCCTGTGGGGAGAGCTTAGTGCTACATTGTGATTTGGGTCCCTCATTTAGTTAGCAAGCAAGATTAACTTTTCTCCAAAGTTGAAGACTAAATCTAAGGATAAAAAATGTAGAAACTGCTTTCAAGTACAATGCATATTTGATCTTCATGTTTATCATGAGTTAGGCAGGATAGTGTTATTCCCCTGTTAGATTAGGAAAATTAGACTTTTGTTAGTCTCTGAACACTTTCCTTTCATGCCAGGCCTCTGGTCATAGCAGGGGAATTTTAGAAACCAAGAAATCAGAGGGGCAGGGAGTTTCAATAAAGGGGATCACCAAGTGTAACTGAAAATCAAAAAGAAGATAAACTTCCCTCTCTCTTGTTTACTATCATAACATGCTGTGCTTGTATTACTACACCATTAATAGCTCTGCCTTTTGATTGTTTCCTCTATGCTGGTGGATTCTGAAAACACACATTGTATATTATTTGTATTATTTTCTTGTTTTAACATAGCACCTGATAGGTGGTCAGTATATTTGTATTGAATGTTCATTACCAGGTGTTCTCCAGCAGAATTGGAAATAAGTGTGTAAAATACAAAATGTAGATTCTGAGCTCAGAAACTCATAAACTAAGTCTAGATGGGACTCCCTCCATTTAATATGTGCTTACATGTGGAAGTCATGGGTGGAGAATAAGGAAATTTAAAAAAAAAAACAGCATTAGAAAGGTTGAAGATATCAACATGTATGCTCTCACTGAGAATTTAGAGAAGACTGAAGTCTAACCCTTGCACAATATTCTGGAGTGACAGGGCTGTGGGATGAAAAAGGAAGCCATGGGGGAATTTCTTGAGCAAGGACACTCAGCCAGATGGACAAGCAATACTGTTGTTAGAGGAATACTAGACAAGCCAAGTATAACAGTGTCAAATGGAAGGAATATACTGAGAACTTGGGATGGGTGCATGTCTGCATAAATTTGTGTTTGCATGTGCAACCACATGTGCTTGTGGTTGAGCAAATCTATAAACACAACTTAATTTAGGCACAAACTAATGGAAGCAGAAGCCAGTTCAAAGGCATTAATGAAAGTAAAGCTGAGAGTCCTGGAATGGCTTCAGGGATGAGCAGCAGGATCAAATACATTTTGAGAAGAGATGATTATCTTCCCTCCAGAATATTTATAGATATGATTGTTTAAAGACATGAAGGAAGGAGCTAGGCAAGTAAAACAGCAAATATGCTGACATCAATGAGGATGATAAGTGAAAGGACCCCTGTCTCCAGAGGAGGTTGGAGGGGAGGTCCAGTGTCCGGACAGTTTTGACCTGACTGGGCAGGAAGAAGTGCCTCTATTTTTGGACATTAGAGAGAAGGATAAGAGCTAGTATGGATTCTGAAGTGAAGTGCAGTGCTATGAGCGTGCTCACAATCAATTTGATGGTTCTTCTGGATTTGTCTTGGGGAATTAGGAGGTAAGGCCACCTGTCGAGAATGAAGTTGACATAGACCTGAAAAAAAGAAAGGTCAGTTGAGAATAGTCACTCTATGGAAGGTGAACAATAAAAATGAATCAAGATGATGAGAGTTTGAAGGGAGTCAGAGATCAACCCAGGGGACTGTAACATTCTGTATTTGAAGGAAGCAGGGAAGAAACCACAAAGTGGGGAAGATTCAAAGTATTTATGACAGAAGATAGAGGAGCAAGAACTGAATGCTTTGGGTGCCAGGAAGTGGAGAGTCTCAAACACACGGGAAATATTTTCTTAGGAATATACTTGGGACATTTGCCTTGTAAAATTGCACCTAAGACTTCATGTTTTCTGATTAACAGTGTTTTGTTATTTTATCTCAACCTTCTTTGAAGACATGGTACATTTGTCTAGCTTTAAACAAAATACTTTTTTTTCCAAAATAAGCATATTTAAGGAAGATAATTCTTAGGTAGAGGAAAAAATGCTTCTGCCTTTTTCCAGGCCCTATTAGGAAGAGCTTTTAGAAAACATTGATATATGTGTTCTCTAAGTCTAGAGTTCTGATTAATGGGCACATTGGCATGTTTCTGCTTCCTTCACCTGCTAGCTAACTCGGCTGTGGGAAATTTCTTCAGGTCAAATTAAGGGTAGAAGACAAGAGTATAATGCCCCAGGAGACGGCTGTATATAACTTCCACTTAAATGCCACCAATGAAAAAATTGCCTTGGTATAATTTAAAGCATTTGTTTAAGAAGAGAGTAACTTTATAATTGAATAACGCTGCTTCCTTCCTATCAACCCCATGGGTATGAGAGTTAAGAACTAAAACAATTTAATAAGATAATATTTCAAGTGCATACCGTTCTTCCTTTTTCATACACAGAGCACTTTGAATCCAAGGGGGAACTGTGTGTGCACAGGCAATATAAAAAGCTAGGCTTGTGGAAGAAAGTGGTTGCCTAAATCCAAATGCATAGTATGAAATAGAAGCATGGGCTTCTTATTTTTGAAAATCTGTTTGATAAAATGACGATGGATTATTTTCCTGTAGTGCAGGTGCTCACTTTACTGCAGGCTATATTCAATACCAAAAAAAATGACGCGGGGCATGCCTGGGCTTCCTGTGCTACACAGAGACCAGATGGGAGCTCAGGGTTATTTTGTTTATCATACAGCCTCCAATGTTGGAGGAAGTTGCTGTGAGGAACAGAGACTATTTAATTCCAAAACTCTTGGTATTCTAATAGTTGCAGATACTCTGACTGCTTCTGCACAGAACACATTTTTACATTTATGGAGTGATTAAAATTGTTTACGTATAGTGTTTCCCCCAGTGTGATAATGGACATTTAATCACATAACATGTGCCTTCCATTTGTGAAATATCATGTAACATTCAGCAGAGTTGGCAGTGCTGTTACCAGATTCATTTCTCATGTCTGTGGCACTCCTTCACTTCCTCTAAATAGTGGTTACATGTCTTTCAGATCTTCCCAAATCCTCATACTCTCTATTCCACACTTCTGCTTTCCCTTTCTCTGAAAAATTAGAAACCATTTGTTGATAATTACTTCAACTTCCCTCCAATTTGGTTATAAATTTCCTTTATTCATCCCTCCTGTTCTTTTCTGTTCTTTTCTCTATCAGGAGCACTCAACTCCTTTCTGAGCATAAGCTTTTTTGACCAGGTCTCTGTCCTGCACTTAATATCCCTGTTTTCCACCTGTCCAGATATGTGAAAATCATGTCTCCTAAATTCCCTCTTGCTGTGTTTTGCTCACCAGCTAACACCACCCTCAATTTTATATAGATTAGCCATCTGGTGGTACTTTGAAACGAGATTGATTTAATTTTTGGACACTGTGCTTTTTTTGCTAAACATAACCTGTGAAGTCAGTGTCTAAATCCTGGCAGTTCCCTTTTCACAACCTTATTTGTCTGACTGACTTTTAGTTTAAGATTTATTTTCTACCAGACTATTGATTTGATAATAAAATACCTTTACCTTCCGTTTTTATTTTTTTGTCCAACTTATCTACCAGTGCTTTTAATGACACAGTTTCATTTCTTCAGTGCTGTGTCCCTTCATTTCCTATGTCTCCTGAAATTTTCTCTTCACTTTCTTATAATTCTTTTTCTGCAAGTCCCAAAGATGCTTGAGACTTTTATAGCATAATAAGCAAAACAGAAAAAAAATTTAAAACCTTACTTTAGTTTTGCTTTTCTCTTTCAAAATAATACCCATATCTTATTGTGTCCCTAGAAAACTCCTGAGGGCTTACCACCAATGTTTCAGCCCCTTGCAGCCTGGCTTCTATAGTCACCACTATGGAAACTATTCTCTAGCATTACCATTGACCTTTAAAATTACTGATTTCAGTATCTATTCACAGTATTTATATTACTTATTGCTTGATTCTACTTAAAGCTTTGATCAGAAACTCCTTATTACATCCTCTTGCCTTTTAGAGTGTGTCCCTTCCCTGTCGCTAATGGGAAGCACCACAGTGAAAGTCTAAATATATCAGCTAGGAAGCCTTACAGACCTACCTTCCTGTTCTGGCCTCTGATAGGATATAACCTTAGGGGAGCTGTTTAATTCTTTTAAGCCTCATTTATTCATCTGTGGGAGACAAATTCTCCTCACAAATTTGCTGTTAAGATTAGAGGTAATGAATATTAATGTTTAACACATTTTTGGTACATATGAAGAGCTCAATAAACAGCTATTTCCACAAAAGTTTCTAATATCACCGACTCCACTATCACCACTATCATCCCATCGTCATGGCCATTACCATCACTCACCACCAGAATCATTATCATCATCATCTCCTTCATTTTGGATCATCAAGGTTGTCTCTAGTCCTGTTTTTACTATTTCTTGTTCTACCTCATCTGTTTCCATTAACAGTAAGAAAACAATTCTAACAAACACAGTATCGACAAAGTTTCATTGTGTCCCTTTCTTTGTAAAAATTTCCAGTTGTACTGCATTTCCTCCTAATATGTCATTTGTGTCGTCTATGATTTTGTCTTATCTTCTAGTGTATTCCCCCATGTGTCCTATGGTTAAGTCCCAGGATATCACATACATTCACATTTCTTGATCACAGTTATTTGCCAGTGCAGAAAAATGTTCTATACACATGCAGTCCAGCTGAATTATTATCTCCTTCTTGAAGTCATTTTTATAGCCCCTAGTTGAAATGAATGATTAAATATTCCTCCCATAGTGCCCATTAAGCACTTTTTATAGCATATGGCATTTATGTTGTTCAGCTTTGTAGTATAACAAATTGCTTCTATGTCTGTCTGACCACCCTTCTCCCAATCCTAAAAACTGCTTTAGGATAACTACATTGTTTCATTCCTTTTTGAATTACAACCAGCTTTGTTCCTCAAAAGGGTGATTCCTGAGATTGGCAGTTTTATACATCCATGCATACAAACACACACAATTTCAAGAGCACTTACATTTAGCAGGTGTCCAGAATACGAAATGGTAGGCCATGAACTCTAGAGGGCTTGAAAAGCCTTCAAAGATCACCTCATCGGAAGAGGCTACCCATGATAAAGTATTTTAAAGCAAGCAACCTCCCTTGATAATCTCATTGCTTATGAGAAAATAGTAGATATTAAATTATAGAAGACATGGGATATTTAAATATGCTTTAATGGTTTGTGGCCTATTTATTATTATATAGAGTGTATACATAGCCATTCACTACCAATAAAAAGCATTTATTTTTCCATATATTTGAGGCAAATGAAAAGAAAATATAATCAACATATTCCAAATTATTTAAACTAATTTGCTATTCATTTATCAGTTCAAAAGCATTTACATAGTTTTGAGAACTTTTTTCTTTTAAATATTTTATTCAGTTCTTGAAAGATTATTTTACATATATTGCCTAACAAAATATGTGCTTCTCACTAATTATATCTGTTAATTCTTTTGTTTTAGTTCACTATTAATTCCTATCTTGGTCTCTTTATTTTTAATACAGATGCTATGTGTGTAACTTTAAGCCATTGCATTCCTTATTCTAGAAATTGCCCTTACATTCTCACATGGCCTGATTTTATATAAAATTGAGGTCATGTATTCTTCATATCAAATTGGTTCTTTTTTAATGCAAGATATTTCAAATAAAAGTTTCCTTAATGTGAATGTTTCTTAAACTCAAATAAAACTTAAATATAGAATATTTCTTGTGTTAATGAAAATCTTTCCAATATGTAAAAATGAAATTTCTTTCAAAAACAAGAAAGAAACTAAGCCAATTGAGAGGTAAAAAAATGAAAACTATAGATGAAGAAAATGGATGTTAATAGCATAAATTATTTCATTGGCATTACCATATATTGTAAAATTTGACCTAACAAAATCTCATAGATTTTTATTCATTAAATAAAATAATATCTTAATTGTTTGAAGTTATTTTAGTTCAGTTTGGGTATGATACTATATTTTTGGTTTTATTCTGGCCAATGTACCCTTAACTTGGAAAATTACATTTAATTACATAATTTGCTAGTTTGACCTATTTCTTTTATATCTTAAAAGCATAAGCAGATACAAGCAATTCAGTACTTCTGATCATTGTATAATTTACATTATGGTCAGCATTGCATAATGAAAATCACTTATTCGTTGCAAATGATGGTAGTTCCTTATGCAATCAAAGATGGAGGTAAACATTTAGAATGTGAATTATTTCTGAAAATGACAAACACATACACATACACACATACACACAACTCAAGGACATTTCTCCCCTAGGGGTGGTTGTCATATACTTCAGTAATGCAGATTAAATTTCTAGTAGCTAGTTGGATAGAGCTTTTCCTATCAGGGAAGCTAAAATTCATTAAAAACTAATTAGAAATGTATGGGAGGTTAATTTTCCACGTTAAGCCTTATGAAAGTGAGATAAGTAATTCATAAAGTATCAAAGGATTGCTCTGACCAGAACCAAAGAAAATGACATTACCAAGTATTGTTTCCTGATAAATCACAGAAGCTATGAAAACAAGACAAGGCAAAAACTCAGGTTCAACTCATCTTGCTTTTTGTCAGAGGAAAACAACAAACGTAATGTCTACACAATTCTATTAAATGGTGGTTCCTGGCAAAGAATCTGTGAAGTAGCAGCTGTCCACACAGGTGGACTGCCTCCATTTTAGTATTCTAGCTAGAGAAAATCATGCCATTTGCCAGAATACATTTACCCTCAGCAAAACGTCACTGGGTATGAATTCTAGCTAGATTCAATGTCCAATTACTGAGCCCACCACAGGACACTATAATAGCAGCATGTCCAGTTCTCTGAATAAATTTGTCAGCTGCATTCAACATGCAATTTAGATATGTGGCATATAGTGGAAACCAAAAGGAAATATTCAAATACTATAATTTTTCCTTTTGCTAAACTTATAATTTCTAAAATACATTGGTATCATTTTTAATGTTGTCTTCCAGTTAAATGGCTTGGGTTATTTCCATGCTGGAAAAATTAAGTTGATTCTGTTGATATCCTTTCCTGCTGCCTCCTCCAGCGGATGTTCTCACTCCTCCCTGGTGATCCTAAGAAACAGGACAGCTGCTGACGGTAGTAAACAGCAGTACAATTCCTGCAGTCCCAATTCGGATCACATACCCTGTTAAGGCAGGAACTCCCCACCTCCAAGTCTCCAGGTGAAAGGCAACAAGGAGAGAGGGAGAAATAATAGATAGTATGTAGACAGTGCCCTAAATATTTTCAAACAAGCACACTTGGATTTACATATTTATATAAATGACCTAAACTTCTTTATTTGTCCCTTTCTTTTGACTCACCTAGGTTTTCAGTTGGTAACTCCTTGCAGGCAGTCTCAGGCGTGACTAGTTAATTCCATGGTGCTACTTTGAACCTAAATTAGGCTTCTACAGTTACTACATATTTCTTTGTATGTGTCAGTGTAGCACAGGTTGTGCTTTGGTGTCCTCTGCAGGCTTGTTCAGTGTCGATGTGGTGCTTGCTTGGTTGACTTCAGTGAGTGCACAGAGTATTATGCTGCTACGTTCCAAAATATGCAGGCGCCAGACATGTATTTTCTCTTTTATTATATAGGCTGTAGGTGATGTTACATAAACCTGTTTTCTCATGCCCCGTTTCTTTAGATTCTGCTTTTTTGTTGTTGTTGTTTCAAACTTGTTTGTCCTCTGATCAAGTCTAAGGTTTTTAAACAGGACAATGCAAATATGTTTTACTATTAGGTTTTCTACTCATCATTACACTGTGTTCAAAAATGGTAATTGAAAATGGAAAATGGAAAATTGTTATGAGACCAATTAGATAATGTGCATGTCAAGTTCAAGTTTAACTGAGAAGTGTTGTATGTGACCATTATATTGTCTAGTATTTTCTATAAGAATGGCAGATTTTTATTCATATCAATCATATAATGATTTAAACCATATTATTACATTTAAAATCTACCTTAAGGTAAAATGAAAGTTTCGTGTAGTGAATATATACAAATATTCAGATATCAAAGAGATTTACAATGTCCCTGAATGGTAAAACTGAATAATTGTACAAATATTGTTTCTTTCCAAGGTATTTTATAGTTTTAATGCAGTATTTTAAAGGTCATCTTTTTCCACTCTTTTCTCCACCATCTCATCTTCTGTCTTGTTCAATCCCTTCTCTTTTCCCCCTTCTTTTTCTCCCTAACTTTCTCTTCTTTTCTCCTCATTCTCTCTCTCAGTTTTCTGATCCCCTTTTTAAGAGCTTTGTAATCTGGAGTTAAATGAAAATGTTAACAGGTGAAAATAACTTATATATTTTGTTAAAATAAGTGAGTAACGATGAGCAATTTGATTGACTAAGAGCTAAATCTTACTGTGAACTCACAGTAATTAAATTAGCAATTTACAGATAAAGCATCAAAATAAGACAAAATAGACATAAGTCCAACCATGAATATATATATATAGAGAGAGAGAGAGTGATAGAGGTGACCAAATAAATTAGTGAAACAAAGAATTGTTGAATAAATAGGACTAGTAAATTAATTATTTGAAAAGGTAAAAGAAAGTAAATTAAAACAATAAAATAAGTCATAAACATATTTGCTTAAATTATAAATGTCATACGATACTTAAGGTCAAGTAGCAAGGTCCTCATAAAAATAACTGATAAGTGGAACCTAAATAAAATTGTCAAAAAATTAGACTCATAATCATAAAAAGTAAAATAAGAATTATAGTAATAACAATAGCACCTATCATTTGCTGAAATTCTACATTCTCTCAAAAAACCTGCTAAGTGAATTATTTATAATAGCACACGTAACCATCTATTAATCACATTACTCTGTAAACTTCAAGGGAGGGACATAGGGTTTAAAGATTTAAAGTAATTTATTAAACTCAGAGTCAGAATTTAAAACTTAGCCTGACTCCATACATTCATTTAAAACATTCCTTGTTTGTGGTCATTTAGGTTGTTTTAATTAATTAATACTATAACAACTAGTTGATATTTCTGATACTCACAAACATACACATACATGTGTTCATTTAGGAGATAAATTTTTCTTTTTTGAGATGGAGTCTGGCTCTGTCACCCAGGCTGGAGTGCAATGGCACGATCTTGGCTCATTGCAACCTCTGCCTCACAGGGTCAAGCGATTCTCCTGCCTCAGCTTCTCGAGTACATGGGATTACAGGCGCCCACCATAATGCCTAGCTAATTTTTATATTTTTGTAGAGATGAGGTTTCACCATGTTGGCCAAGCTGGTCTTGAACTCCTGACCTCAGGTGATCCGCCCGCCTTGGCCTCCCAAAGTGCTGGGGTTACAGGCATCAGCCACTGTGCCTGGCCACTTCTTTTAACTGTTATACTTTAATCATTGAAAAAGACATGCTACTCCTATTTTATTCATTTAATGTCACCTTGGTAGGCATTCATATTGCTTATTGATTTTTCCCCTATTACAAATAAGTTAACATGAAATTTTAATATACCTATGTTTTGCTCATATTAAAGGCTGGTAGAATTACTGAATGATAAGGGATGCACATTTTAAATGTTAACTAGATGTTATCAGAAGTGATGGCGGGTATTTCTATCTTGTTTCTGAATTTAAAGGTAATGCATCTGAAGATTGACCATTAAGGATAATCACACTTTATATTTTTTTGTTTTAGAAGAGTTGCTATTTTTCTTTACTTGAAGAAATTTTCTTTTTTTATGTAATATTTTTAGACATGAGGCCGGTGCGGTGGCGGTGGTGGTGGCTCACACCTGTAATCCCAGGACTTTGGGAGGCCGAGGCAGGCTGATTGCTTGAGCCCAGGAGCTCAAGGCCAGCCTGGGCAACATGGTGAAACACTGCCTCTACCAAAACTACAAAAATTAACCTGGTGTGTTGGAGTGTGTCTGTAGTCCCAGCTACTCAGGAGGCTGAGACAGGAGGATCACTTGAGCCTGAGAGCCAGAGGTTGCAGTGAGCTGAAATGCACCACTGCACTCCAGCCTGGGTGACAAGTTGGGACCCTGCCTCAAATACATACATAAATAAATAAAATTTTTAGACATGAAATAGGCATTGGACTTTATCAAATTTTTGTCCACAATTACTCTCTCATGCGATCTCGACCATCAGTATTTAATGTTCTTGCCAAGATCTGGTTCTATTAAATGAGATTCCAGGACAAGTACAGACAGGAAATGCCAGAGTTTTGGAGAATATGAAGATACTGTTAGAAAAAAGAAATAAAGAATATGATGATTGATACCATTGATACACAGGATACCAAACTGACCATGACTACTATAAAAAATGAAGATGAAAAGAATAAAGAAGTATGTATGATCTTCTCAAGGAAATCAAAGGAACTTAGAACTGAAGCATCAAAATCCACTCAGCAAAAGACTGAAAGTGACCACTTTGGCTCAGGTGAACAGGAGATATCAGACTGCTCGAGCAGACTCTGAAAGTGAGCATGAAGTTTGAAAACCAGAATCATAAATAAAGACCGGATTATCAAGAGGAACCACAAAAGCAGCACCAGTAAAAGAAAATATAATAATGCACCATGTCTCAATGAAGATGAGAGTTTCACAGGAAGTGTGAAGATAGAGATGGAAGCCTTTTAAAATTGTCCTTTAAAATTATATTCTTTTTTATTTAATAGTTATCCTCATGTCAAAAATTTCTCAAATAATTTAATTTTCATCAGGATTGTGATTAGATTTGAATTCATTGATTAACTTAAATCAATTAATATCTTGAAATGTTTCAACATGGTGCGTGGCCTCGTTTATTTATGTCTTCTTTTATGTCCTTCAATGGAAATGATAGAAATGTGTAACTTCATTAACAAAGTGTTTCATATTTTGGTAAAGTTTATTTTGGAATATCTTAGGAAATGTTACTCTTTAATTTGCCTGCTAAAATTTTGATTTGGTAACTGCTGATATAATGTAATGTTACTGAATTTAGCATGTTGGCCTTCAATCCAGCAACTTCTTGCCTCTTAATAATTCTCAGAGTTTGTCTATAGATTCTCAGGGTTCATGTGAAGACCATAAATGTCTGTTTCCTGAATAATGTTTTAATTTTGAGTGTGCTTTATGACTTTTATGTTCTTTCTTTATTTTTACTATCTTTTTGCCCTCATTGGACCTCTTTATAATGTTGAATAGCAAAATCAATAGCAAATATTAATGTATTCAATTATGAAATGTTTATAAAATTATACCAATTATGGATGATGTTTATTTCAGGTCTGTCTGTTTTGTGAAGCAGAAAACAATGTTTAATTTTAAGGAAGTTACTTTCTACCCCTAATTTTTAAAATATTTTGTAGTCATGCATAGGCATTAAAGATCATCAAAGACATTTTATCCGCCTATTAACACCGATCGCATTTTCTGTTCTTTATGTGATGAAATTACATTGGTAGATTTTTCTAAATTTAGATCATCATTGCAAAAACCTTTCTTGTCCTGTATATATTCTTATAGACACACACACACACACACACACACACACACACACACACACCTGGAGCAGAGGGTTAATTATGCTTCTTAGTTCATAGTGTGCTATAATTATTGATCCCTGCAAGGGTCTTGTCTTATTATATTCATCTTTATTTATAAGTTTGAAAAGCTTATAATTTTATTCCCATGTGATACTATGCCTAGTCCTAAGATCAAAGTTATACTAATATCATAAAATTGGACAGTTTTGCCTCTTTTCCTATAGTATGAAATAGTGTGTATAAGATGAAGAATATCTATTTCATGAAATTATGAAAAATCCCTACAAAAGCTCCCGGACTAGGTAACTGTTTTTATTCTTGGTCAATTTTGGTAAGTTATGTATTTCTATATATTTACATGTGTCTGAAAAAAATGTTTTATTTATTCAGTTTTTTGAAATTTTTTGGTATACCTTAATAATAGCTTGTCTATTCTAAAATCACAAATTTATATGCCATTATATTCATTTCACATTTTTCGTATCATGCGTGGATGTATTTAATTTTTATATGGTCTTGCCAGATTTCTTTTAGGTCTTTTCCAAAAAGCAGTAAATTATTTTGGTTGGCCACCTCAATTGTGGTTTTTGTTGATAATTTCTGTTTCATTTATTTATGTATTTCTCTTAATTGTTACTTTTTCTTAAACTTCTTGTGTTAATTCTGTTTTTCTTTTTTAGCTTATTTCATTGAATGCTCAGATTATTTATTTTCAATGTTGCATGTTTTCTACTAAATGATTTTTATTTTTTGGTTAAACATTTCACTGTAGGTACTATACTAGTTCCTTCATACGTAGTATGAACTTTTTCAAGGACCATACGTATATTGACCACTGTTTTACAGAGGTTATGTCGGTTTATACACTCAATAGTTCTATTTATGAAAGTGAATGACTTTTACTACCACTTTATTTTTAGATCTTGAATTGCAGATCTTATGAACAATTTTAATTTAGTGGATAAAAATGGCATATTATTTTTGCTTTAATGTGATTGCTAAGACTTCCTAGATGAGGCTATTTTGAATATAATTTTATATTTACTTGATTTATGTTTTCTTGATTGTTTTAATAAAACATTTCCTTAAAAACTATTGTAAACATGTATACTAAATGATTCCAATTAGTTGTAATCTTACAACTTTTTTACTTCTTGTCCCACTCTTCATGAGAATTTACTAGTCAAACTTGAATAAACTTCAAAAGCTATAGCCATGAAAAATCATCTTTATAAAAAAGTTGCAGCTTATTTATGCTGCAAATATATAGTATCTGTATATGATTAAAAACACAACTAGTTATGTAGAGATTAAATCACAATGAAATTTGTTTATGAGACAATAATTCATTTGTAACATACTGGTTTTTCATCCATGGTTCTCAAAAAAAATTGTTATTACACTCTTTTTTGGAATTGCATATACATTTTGACTAGTCATGGTCGTATTTTCTCATGTCAGATTAAGTAAATTTTCTCTATATTTTTTATATACTTTATAACTCCAGACTTCCATTAAAATAAGCGTTCTTTTAAAGTGCTTTCATTTTAACTCCTTAATTGTATATTTCTAGAGGTATAAATCATTTGTATAAGTATCTTTATATTATTGATATAGAAATAGAGTAGGCCAAATCAATTTTTTAAGTTTTGTGAATTAGAATGTTCTTCCAAAGCAGGAATCTGCAAGTTAAGAAATTCCAGGGATTAAGAGCTACACAATTTTTTCTTTTAAAATAATACTGGCAAGCCGAATCCAGCAGCACATCAAAAAGCTTATCCACCATGATCAAGTCAGCTTTATCTCTGGGATGCAAGGCTGGTTCAACATATGCAAATCATTAAACATAATCCGTAACATAAACAGAACCAATGACAAAAACTACATGATTATCTTATTAGATGGAGAAAATGTCTTTGATATAATTCAACACCCCTTCATGCTAAAAACTCTTAATAAACTAGGTATTGATGGATCGTATCTCAAAATAATAAGAGCTATTTATGACACACCCGTAGCCAATATCATATTGAATGGGCAAAAGCTGGAAGCATTCCCTTTGAAAACTGGCACAAGACAAAGATGCCATCTCTCACCACTCCTGTTCAACATAGTATTGGAAGTTCCGACCAGGGCAATCAGGCAAGAGAAAGAAATAAAGGGTCTTCAAATAGGAAGAGAGGAAGTCAAATTGTCTCTGTTTGCAATGACATGATTCTATGTTTGTAAAACCCCATCGTCTCAGCCCCAAGTCTCCTTAAGCTGATAAGCAACTTCAGCAAAGTCTCAGGATACGAAATCAGTGTGCAAAAATCACAAGCATCCCTATACACCAATGTTAGATAAACAGAGAGCCAAATCATAAGTGAACTCCCATTCAAATTGCTAAAAAGAGAATAAAATGCCTAGGAATAAAACTTACAAGGGATGTGAAGGACCTCTTCAATAAGAACTACAAACCACTGCTCAAGGAAATAAGAGAAGACACAAACAAATGGAAAAAACATTCTATTCTCATGCATAGGAAGAATCAATGTTGTGAAAGTGGCCATACTGCCCAAAGTAATTTATAGATTCAATGATATCCCCATCAAGCTACCACTGACTTTCTTCACAGGATTAGAAAAGTCTACTTTAAATTTCATATGGAACCAGAAAAGAGCCCATATAGCCAAGACAATCCTAGACAAAAAGAACAAATCTGGAGGCATCACGCAACCTGACTTCAAACTATACTATAAGACAACAGTAACCAAAACAGCATGGTACTGTTACCAAAACAGATATCTAGACCAAGGGAACAGAAGAGAGGCCTCAGAAAAACACCACACACCTACAACCATCTGATCTTTGACAAACCTGACAAAAACAAACAATGGGGGAAAGGAATCCCTACTTAATAATTGGTGTTGGGATAACAGGCTAGCCATATGCAGAAAACTGAAACTGGACCCCTTCCTTACACCTTACACAAAAATTAACTCAAGATGGATTAAAGATGTAAATGCAAGACCTAAAATCATAAAAACCCTAGAAGAAAACCTAGGCAATATCATTCAGGACATAGGCATGGGCAAAGGCTTCACGACTAAAACACCAAAAGCAATGGCAACAAAAGCCAAAATTGACAAATGGGATCTAATTAAACTAAAGAGCTTCTGGACAGCAAAACAAACTATCATCAGGGTGAACAGGAAACCTACAGAATGGGAGAAAGTTTTTGCAATCTATCCATCTGACAAAGGGCTAATGTCCAGAATCTACAAGGAACTTAAACAAATTTACAAGAAAAAAAAAAACTCATCAAAAAGTGGGCAAAGGATATGAACAGACACTTCTCAAAAGAAGACATTTATGCAGCCAACAAACATACGAAAAAAAAGCTCATCAACACTGGTCATTAGAGAAATGCAAATCAAAGCCACAATGAGATACCATCCCATGCCAGTTAGAATGGTGATCATTAAAAAGTCAGGAAACAAGAGATGCTGGAGAGGATGTGGAGAAATAGGAATGCTTTTACACTGTTGGTGGGAATGTAAATTAGTTTAACCATTGTGGAAGACAGTGTGGTGATTCCTCAAGGATCTAGAACCAGAAATACCATTTGAACCAGCAGTCCCATCACTGGGTATGCACCCAAAGGATGATAAATCATTCTACTATAAAGACATATGCACATGTGTGTTTATTGCAGCACTATTCACAATAGCAAAGAGTTGGAACCAACCCAAATGCCCATCAATGATAGACTGGATAAATAAAATATGGCACATATACACCATAGAATACTATGCAGCCATAAAAAAGATGAGTTCATGTCCTTTGTGGGGACATGGATGAAGCTGGAAACCATCATTCTCAGTAGACTAACACAGGAACAGAAAACCAAACACCGCTTGTTCTCACTCATAAGTCGGAGTTGAACAATGAGAACACATGGACACAGGGAGGGGAACATTACACACTGGAGCCTGTTGGAGGTTGGGGGGTTAGGGGAGGGATAACATTAGGAGAAATACCTAATGTAGGTGATGGGTTGATGGGTGCAGCAAAGCACCATGCCACGTGTATACCTATGTAAGAAGTCTGCACCTTCTGCACACATATCCCAAAACTTAAAGTACACACACACAAAATAAATAAGTCTTTATTCTGATTAAAAATTTGAGATTCTTTAAGTTAAAAGTTTTAATCTTTTTTATTTCTTCCTAAACGAAGTTCTGAGAGAAAAATTGAAATTATTTTTATTAACTTTTTTCAAAAAATAATAGATATCAATCAGGTAAGAACTCATATCTAAACTCTGTCTCCTCTTAGTCAAAATGGGATAAGTTGAGGATTTAACACTGATGAATTTTCCAAATTGTTCATGACTTCCTGTTGAAATTAACTGAAGCTCAATTATTTAAAACATGGCATGGCATATTGTTATGCTTCCAATATTTTGAATTACTCTGGCTATCTTCATTTTCAACTGACAACCACTGTCTTTTATTATCTTAATAGAAAGAGAAAAAGAAATCTGTGTACTTTGTTTTCTGGTGTTTTATACACAAACCTCAGTAATTGGATTCTGATACTCCATTCTCAGTTTTATCCCAGGGCTCTTATTGATTATTTGGCCAGTGAGATAGGCACTCTGGAAGGAATACATTAAGGGAACAACAACACAGTCTGATAAGTGGTTGCCAAAATCACTGGTGTTGCAATTTTGGTAATGTACATCTCTGTCTTGAGATATAAGGTTGGGAATATGCAGACCCTCTTCTCGTCACTTTGCACATTATTTGTTGCCTTTCTGCATCTCATTAGCATCTGAAACCTAATGTGTGCCAAAAACACAAAGGCAACTAAAACTTTTGATAGAACAATTGGGAGACATGTCTGTTTTTTGTTTGATCCACACTACTGACACCATATCCACCAGCAATCTAGATGAAATAATTAATTTTCTCCTCATTCAGAGATTCTGTTACTCAAATGGGTTGGTGATTATTTTCAAGGAATACTTATACTCTGTTCTTTCTATCATTCAGACCTCTTCATTGTGTCCTAAAAGTAAGAGGTAAGGGTTTGTCCTCAGTTTTAAGAATATAGCATAGTATTATTTTTAGATCTTATTTTATTCTAACTAGAAGAGTAATTATAAATAAGAGGAAACTGAAATTCTAGAAATTTGAGGTTTGAGGTGGGGCTAATGCTGGATCCCATAGATTGTGATCCCTGAGAATTGGCACAGATAGTGGCTTCATGAGGAGAATTGAGTCCCACAGTCAGACACACCTGACTGCACATCCTTAATCTTTTGTTTTGTGACATTAGGGAATTCCTCATTTATTCAGAAAATATTTATGAGTTCCTTATTAGGCACTAAAAGTTAGTATCTCTGAGCTGCCTCTTAGCATTATTATCAATTTGGAAAAGTGGTATTGTGTAATGTGACTGGCACATGGCTGGCTGTTGGTAAATGCAATTTCTTTCTCTTAGTTCATGAATCCTATGTGAAGGTTCTCTCACCGAAATCAAATGATGAGTGCATCCATTAGTGGCTCATATTGCATTATGTTAATATTTAATTTTAAATTTTTGCTATGTAAACTTTTATTTTCATTATGGAATGTTTCAAATTCCATGACAAATTTGGGGACTACAAAAACAAAATTATTGAATGCACAGTGTTTTCTTCTTTTTTTTCATAAGAAGTTGAAAAGGGAACAATAATAAAAATTGAAGACCCAATGTGTGCACATAATTAAAGTTGACTCACCATTTATCAAACATCTATAAAGTGTTACAGACCATGCTATGTGTGCTAGGGAATATATACACACACACACACACACACACACACATATATGTATACACACACATACATATGTTTGCTCATATATAGAATTACCTTCTAATTGAAGAGATTTAAATGACATGTTAGCTGATCCCCTTTTAAAGACAATAGTCATATTCATTCATTTAATGAATATTTATTACCTACTGTGAGTCATACACACATTGTTCTAAATACTGACAATACAGCAGTAATGAAACAAAGTCCCAGTGCTCAGTGAGATTACATTCTAAAAAGGAGAGAGAAATAGGAAGCAAGCAAACAAGCAAGTTAGCAATATCATGTAATTTCAAATGTCATGAAGAAAAATATAGCAGCATTAAGGAGAAACAGAATGACATGTCCTGGGGGTGTTAGGTTAGATAGTGTGGGTAGGGAAGGGGTTTTCTGATCATCTTCTGTCTGACCTGCAAGGGGAAGGAAAGGTTGCAGAACAGAGAAAATATATAGAACTTGAGGGGAAATCGGTGGTTTTCCAGGTTCAATTGCAATCAGCCCGCACAGCATTTTGAGTGTTTGATAAGCAATGTGACCTTCTCTGGAAGTGGGAAGGCATTAACACCTCTACAGCTCTGCTTGTCACTTGCTTCTATTTATTAGAAGAGGACTACTTTGAGGAGAAGTTGTACTTTAACAATGGAATATTGCTTTACCAGCACTTAGTAGGAGGAATTGGAATGCAAAGAACCTAAACCAGGTAATCAGTTAGGAAGCTATGGCAATATCCTAGGGAAAGAGTAGTGAGATTGAAATGGAGAAGACTGCTGTGAAGTATTGCAGATGCAAAACTGAAAAGGCCTAGCAATTGATTGGGTGCACAAGGAAAGGTAGGTGATAGGGATAAAGAATGGGAGGGCTAGAGGTGAAACTTAGAACCTGGGTAAGTGAAGGGATGGTGAAGCCATTTAGGGAAATACAGAAGATGGATGGATAAGTAGATTTCAGAAATGGAGTCAGGTAATTTCAGATTTGAATTTTTGAGGTATTCATAGGACTCTGCTTGAGATGTTGTATGAGTCTCCTGAAACTGCGGATTGGGTTTTGGAAGGCTCTGTGAAATTCCAGTTGCAGATTTGGAAGCAAATATGTTCAGCTTTAAAAAAGCATCTGAGACTTATGCCTTAAAAAAGAACAAACTTGCCAGTAATGAAATACCATACCAGTAATCAATTCTGAGAAAAGTCTTATTTTGCCAGTACTCTAATGAGAAAAGTCAAGACATTTGAAACAGATTCAAGCTAAAGTATCATAAACATCTCGACACAAATTACTAATATTAATTACAAACACTACAGAAATAGCCTTTATACCTTGTAAAAACAAACAAACAGGCCAGGTGTGGTAGTTCATGCCTGTAATTCCAGCACTTTGGAAGGCCGAGGTGGGCACATCACTTGAGCCCAGGAGTTTAAGACCACCCTGGGCAACATGGTGAAAACCTATTTCTAAAAACAAACAAACAAACAAACAAACAAACAAAAAAAAAAAAATATATATATATATATATATATATATATATATATATATACATACACACACAAAAATAAAAAATAAAAATAAAATAGACAGGCATGGTAGTACACGCCTTTAGTCCTAGCTACTTGGGAGTCTGAGGTGGGAGGATCACCTGAGCCCAGGAGGTCGAGGCTGCAGTGAGCTATGATTGCTCCATTGCACTCCAGCCTGGAAACAGAGTGAGGATCTGTCTTAAACAAACAAACAAACATATTCTACAAACATTGCCTGTCTTATTTTTTCTCAGCCACAACTTATAGGTTCAATATTACTTTTTCATTTAACAAAGAAGTTGGGGTTTAAAGAAACTAGGCAATTTTCTAATGTTGCCCAATTTGTAAGTGGCAGAGCCAGGACACAAATCCAGCTCTTCTCACTGCTGTTTAACAGAATGAATGCAGATTCTTTCTTCTACCCTGTACTATGTGCGCAAAATTTATACAGTCCTAAAGAGCCCCAACTATCTGAATGAAGAGACATCAGTAAAACTAGTAAGAACTTGTAATGATACTCAGTTCATAAACCTTGAGAGAACCCATTATTAGTGCGTAGTGAGATAATTTGTGTTCATTCATGCATTCATTAATTCAACATTTATTAAACATCTACTAAGTGTTGGCCACTGTACTAACACTAGAGATTTAAAAATGTGATTAAGATAGAAATTTATGCTCTCTCCATTTGTCTGATGTTCAATGAAAGACACAAACAACTAAACAGGTAGTTACAAATACTGTGTAATAAGTTGTTGTGGAAAGTACATTGTGCTATGAGAACTCAGGAATAAGACATAGTCCAGATTTGGAGGATCAGGAAAGACCTCCATGGGAAGAGATGTATAAGCTAAGACTAGAAATGGGACCTGGAAATAAAACTTGGGCTCATTACGGTAGCAGCAAGACCTGGAGACTTAGATGTAAGATAGAAGAAGAAAGGCTCCTTGAGAAGCTTAAGGAGACTTAGATGTAAGATAGAGGGAAAAAGAAAGCCTCCTGGAGAAGCTTAAGGAGGGGCATGGGATGCATAATGGGCAAGGTGGGGCTGTCCATGTATTAACTAAGAGGAGAGCTGGAAAAGACGATGAAGGGCCTTGACATCTAAATTACACACAAACATGTAAAATTACATGCAATGTATTTTCTTTGCAAAGAAGACAGAGTGATGTCTAATATATTTCAGATTTCTGTCATAAAAGCATTTTAAAAGTTCATAAAACTTAGTATTTAAAATGTTATTTTTTTTTTTAGAAAATTACCTTGTGTGAACTTAGGTATTCCTGAATAAATGAGGCTTTCCTGTGATTCCTCATATTATCAAGTCTTTGGTTCTAAGAAAGGAACAAAGGTAGTGTAGGAAGCAGGAAAAAATTTGATTAAATAATTTTAATAATCTATTTTATGCAACCTAATGTCTTTTTAGGCAGATAATACTGAATCTTCCACTATGCCTATTTTTTTTTTTTTTTTTGGTGGGGGGAATATGAAATTCCTAAAGTTTTCACGGTATTTTCTAATAATGGTCTTCTTGGAGTTGTTCCAGGAATATATGTGTTTAGCTTTAATAACCCCCAAATGAAACTAGGTTAAATTCCCCTCAGTTTTGCTTTTGTAATTACACATATTTTCAGGTACTTTTTATTACAGGAAACCTATTATGGATAGTAGGTATTAGCATGCTGCCTTTTTATATTTATTGCTTTTTTCTTTCTTTTTTCTTTATTTAGTGATCTTTCTGTTCAGAAGAAGGTAATGCTTCAGTTACTTATTTGTTTCTAAAAAACATCCAAAAGATTTGAAATAGAATAGGAGGCCTGGGAATCCATTCCATTTGGCTTCCAAAATATGTTATTATAAAACACTAATTTTCATGTGAATGGAGTTTAAAACAGTAAGATTCTATCAATAAGTCTATCACAGAAATAAACACATTTCTAGCAAAAAAAAATACTCAGGATTCAACAGATGTATTTCAGCCACTATGCAGAATACTGCTCTATAAATATGCTTTCGTCCTGCAAGGTTTTGGAAGGAGGAGTTCTGGAAGACAACATTTTATTGAGGCAAAAGGCATTCTAGTTGTTTAAAAGACTAACCTAGGCAGGGCATAAAGAAAGGTGAATGGCTCCTGCCTGTGGCCTTAGAGTGAAGATAAGAAGAACCTTTCTTGTGAGGATTAAATAAGTTCCATCAAACCCTTACTTCCATAGCTCTGACAAGCTGCTTGTTAAAAAAAAAAAAAAAAGTCTTTTAATGTTAGTTTTCTTGTGACTACCCACTTCAACTCCAGTCTGCATTTCCCAGTGGCTCCTGGCATGGGAGGAGTCAATGGGAGTCAAGATGAAAAAGGACCCAGGCAGGAAAAGTTAACATGAGTGAACACTACCGGCTAGCTAAGGAACAGCAAATGTGGCTGCCCCGTGCACCAAGGGCCATGTGTGATCCCCAGGCTGCTGTGGGTCACTAGACGTGGTTATAGAGAGTGAGAACTGGACAGTGTCTTTTTTCAGGGAGAAGACAAGATTAAGGCAGGAATGTCAATTTCTCTGTGCAAGACTTCCAGATAGCAGCTGGCCAGAAAATGTTTTCATGCCATACTTCCAAAGAGGGGCCCAAATCTCATGCTTGTCCTTTATATCCAAGGTTAAATGAGTTAATACTTATAAAGCACTCAGAATGGTGACTGGCCTAGGGTAGGAACCCTGCAACTGATTCAAAAGTTTCTTCTCTGAGATTTCAAAACAACAGGTAAGAATAGCAAGACTCCATTTTGTGTTTTACGTCTCCTTTTATCTGACCCAGTCACAGGCTTCTTTGCTTCAGTCAACACAAATTATGACCTAGCCATGAGAAATTTCCCCTCTTCTCCTCCTTAATTCATTTTGAATCCAGGCAGCCTGGCTGCCAAAAGTATTTTTCTTTTTCTTTGTCTTTTTTGGTTCTTTCTTTTTTAGAAAAACATCCAACTGATTTACTATAAAGCCATTGTATTCATATAGCATTAATTAAATACTACATTGTGTTTTTGTTGCTTTTAGAGGTATCACAAATAAGAATTTGGGGAGTCGATGTAGAATTGTGCTGTGTCATTTCAGCATCCATTAAGGTGACTGAGAATTTTCCTTACATGCTTTTAGTGCGTAGAATGAATATTCTGTCATGATCCAGAGACTGTGACAAACATAGGCTCTGTTTCTGCAACAGCTTCTGCTTATCCTACTTCCCTAATATATTGGCCATTTCACTGCTTAATAGCACTCAATTTTTAGCTAGGTATGAAAATTAATGAGGTAAGGGACTGAGAATTGCCACTTTATTTCTGGTCAGAGACTCTAATAAGAGCCTTAGTTCAAAAAGTCATGATATTAAAAGAAATCCTTGCAAATTTAATTCAGACATAGACGTAGACAACTGTGGTGGGGTTACATATGATGATTCTCAGAAATAGAATAAAGTTTCATATGCCTTGTGGCTGAGGAATAAACTAGGAACCTGAAGTCTGTGGCATGAATGGGGTATGACCCCTCTGGTTTTCCTTCAGTCCTTTTATTCCATAATTTGAATGCATAATTTCACATGTATTTATTCAGAAATATGTGCACCCAGACTACTTTCTGCTAAATGCAGACTCCCACTCTTAAACATTGGTGAGAGAAGCCTGCTAACTGACATTTGCAATTTCAGGATGGCACCGTGTGGGAGAGAGAACTGCCAATCATTTCTGCCAACATCACTCTCAGAGGGAGTCTAAACGGAGCTAGCATGGTCCAATTAAAAGAAGCAATTATGAATAATGGAAAGTAAACAAATCTAAGAAAAATGATATTGCAGATTATAGTGGGTATTCACAATGAAAAGCTGTAGTCTGTGTCACCTTTGTTTCTAAAGCTATTAATCTTCTTTAATTTTCTTGAAGATTTTTACATGAAATAATCAAAAAGGAATCCTTAAACCTCATTTCATAACTAAGCAAAATTCACCTTAGTAGAATAATTTAAAAGCTCTTTACAGATCTTTAATTAGGTCAAATTTTTACGTGGTCTTTGGGTTAGGAAAAATGTATAAACTATTATACTATGACCCATTTAGCTGCTTGATTATAGAAAATATTGTAAAACAGCCCTTTTAAAAAACTGATTTAATATACAATGTGCAAGATTTGCTTCTGTGGTATAATACAATCCAACTTTCATAATTTGAAGTTTGATAAGCTGCATCTTGATGCCTTCCCCTGTGTGCAAGGAATATAGAACCCCGCACTGTAATAGCATGTAAGTGTGTGTTCTTGTCTCTGAAAGCACAGTGATATAACCTTTTGCCATTGCCAACAAGCATCATGTTAAATTAATTGACCTTGGTTCACTTGCACTATGATGCAATTAGCAATTATCTTCAAACGTCAACATTTTGGTTACATATCCTAAATAGAAAAAGATGCCTGACCCAAAATTCTGCTAGGAATGTAGAAATATATTTTTTTTGGCAAATTATTTTTCCTGCTGTGAATATCTCTATACTTTGGTTATGCAAGATAAATTTGTATTAGAGAGCCAAAGTAAAAACCCATATTAACGACCAGTAATAACCAGAATGATCAGGGATAAAAGGCACAGGTGTAAGGGAAAAATATCTTTGGACACATAGAAAGTTATAGTGAATGGCTAAAATAAATATGCCCTTCTTTAGTACTAAAAAAAATTGCTAATGGGACCAAAGGGATTAGGAAGCAATCAATTGATCTCTCTGGGATCTAAAAAAAAAAAAAAAAAAAACGACTACTAAACATGAGCAGATATGCTAATATATATCTGTGGAAAATATTTTAAATGATCTCTCAAAGGTGTTTTAAGCTGACTCCCAACTGAGAAGAGATGAAGGTCCAGAGAATTCATGCATAGACATGTACACAGGGTCTGCCACAAAAATACCGATTTGATAGCTGATGGCAAGTTTTGTTTCAGCTGATGTTTGAAACATGCTGGAAAATGCAATCTTGCTAAGCAAGGAAAGCAAAACCATCCCGATCTAGTAAGCTAGAACATCCTTTAAGCAATGAACCAACAAAGCCTGTTGATGCCAATGTAGCATTAAGTTTCAGTATGTAAAAGACTACAAATGTTGACTCTACTTATTCTTGTCTATGGAACTGGCCTTTTAGCCAGTCACAGACATCACATCAGGCATCCTGAAGTAGATGCTATTTCATTAGCATCACTTTCTGCCAGCAAATGACATTGTCTTGGAGCAGAGCCAGACTACAGGCATGAGCAATGTGTTAGAGATTCTGGACTGGATTTCTCCAGGGAATGGGTAAGGTTATCTAGTCTAGTACATGGTGAAGGCTGCTATAAGTGACAAGTGGAAAAGCTTCATATACCTTATGTTGTTGGAAAAACTAGATCTTTAAAATCTCTTTATATCAATTCTTTATAGCTTGTTCATGTACATGTACACATTATCTCTTAATTCTACCAGCAATGTATTGTCATGCCCACTTTCCAAATGCAAAAGTTAAGACAATTCCTCGCTATGAAACACAGGTATATTTAGAATACTAAACAAATGCAGATAGTGACTATAACCACAAACTTGAACACACTGTATGTTTTGTAGATGTGTTTTCAACTCTTCCAGTGTCATGTAGCACAGACTTGTTAGTCATCGGCATAATTTTAATTCAGGCAGTTCCAATTGTTTGCTTTTTTCTGAACTTTGCAGAGCACTTGTGATGAGTTTTTACAAAACACCTACACTACATTTCTCACTGAGCCAACCTGCGTGTTTGTCAGTTTTTCCCATTGCAGAAAATACCAGAACTATATACTTATATATCCAAAATACTACCTCTCTCCAGTCCCCATTTTCCCCCATTCTGATGCAGGATTGCCATCTGGTGGAGCACAGAAGGCACTTCTGGTTTGGACTTAACCCAAACAGTATGATCATTGTTTCTCAGTTAGGCTTCCAAGGATCAGTGTAGCAAATGGGAACCCTGTTTCTGGTCACAAATGAAGATGAGCCAACCGTGAAAAAATAAGCCAATGGTAATGCAGCAAACAGTCACTGGGAGCTGCAGCGATTTTAGTGGGTGATGACTTGGCAAGAAGAAATCACCTACTCTCAGCTAAAGAAGAGATCACCCACTTTATTAACAATGATTTTTTAAAATTATATACACGTACATATTACGTGTGTGTGTATACACACACACACTCACACATATATACATAACAGAGGCATGATACTGCCCATATATGGCTGCCTGGGCAACATTAAGTCTCCAGACATTTTGTATTGTATATATGTATATATTATGTGTGTGTGTGTGTGTGTGTGTGTGTGTGTAACAGAGAAGGTAAATAAAATCACAATTAAAACAAAGTGGCCTTAGAAAGCTATAGCAGATGTAGCAGAGTTATCTTTCCCCCCTCATTCTCCCCACAAACATGCCCCTTCCCTAGAGTCCTGAAGAGAAGCACACAGTTTCCATATGATGCTGCCTGGGCAACATGGGGTCACTGAAGATCTGGAAGCCCTGTTACAGACAGAGATTATGTAACCATTGCAGAAGACTTACACTGACATACCATAAACCACTACTGCAGGGAGGATTTAACAACGTTTGGCATATCAAATCATCAGTGGAAAGAAGGCAGGTCTTAGTAGTATGTCTGCCTCCGACTTTCTAGCTTTCAGAAAGAATGGAGCTTTTCATATGCCAAGCACTGTGCCAAATTAATCTAGGCTAATCACAGACATTAAACATTAGGTGTTATTTTTTAAATCTGAGGCTTAGAGAGAGGCTAAGAATTTTCTGAGAGTCACACAGCATTTATTCATGCTACAGATGATGTGCTCCTGACAATGTTTTACATACAATGGAGGAAATGAGAGAGAAAGAGAGTGTACTGACTTCTTTATTTCCCTACTTCTTATTCTAGCTATTCCTGTGTGATGGGAAGAATGTTTCAGCAGGAAATAAAACCACAGAAGAAACACTTTTTTTATCCTACAGAGAAGTTTCCCTAAGAGTGTATTTTTCTTTGAAAATAATGACTTTCAGCTTGAAGAATTCCATTTAATCAGAGAAAAGTATACATATATTTGTTCCCATCTAAAGAAAGTGAAAACTGGTTGTTTTACATTGCATAGCCCCTTTTCACTGTTAGATCTTAGAATAAGAAATCATCCTGAGTAACTGCAGGGATATTCATACTCCGAGTGGAATCCCCTTTAATAGATTTAGAAGTTCATTCCCTAACAGCTGCATCATTGAGAATGAAACTGCTATTTGTCCCACTATTTTCTTCTTTGTCTAGTCTCAGACAAGCTATACATGTAACCCAAGAGGAGATATAATGGGACGGTGACCAGTGCCTCATGGTTAATTCATAGATACGTTGTTTGTTATTTTGAAAACTGATCTGTGGAGGATTTGGTAACTAGTTGTCTTTGTATGTTCATCAGAGATGACTAAACCTTCAAGCAGAAGTGTTTAGGTTATTTGAAACTCATGGCCAAATGAGGAAAGGATTAGAAAAGAAGATAGAGCATCTCCCAAAGGAAGTCAGGAGGAAAATATTACAATCAATCCAATGCATACCGCTTGAGAGTACATGTTTGTGGAGTGATTAAGAAATGGATGAGCACCTTATTTATATAGCCATGTAAGAACTCCATTTTCAGTTTCACGTAGACAGTCCTTACGAGGCTATAAACTTTGTACTTCAACTTCTTAATAGATTATTTCTGGTGTGCTAAGCACAAGGGTTTTTTTTAACTTTTTATTTTGAAATAATTTTAGATTATCCAGAAGTTGTAAAAATAGTACAGAGTTCCCTTGTATTCTTCACCCAGTTTCCCCCAATGGTAACTAACCTTACATAACCAGAATATATTATCAAAACAAGGAAATTGTCAGTGGTACACATCTATTAACTACAGACTTTATTTGGATTTCACAATTATGTAGCTTCTTAAAAAATGTTATTTAAAATGTCTTAATCACTGTCTTGATTAATTATTTTATTCTGTTTTAGATAGCTGCTTTATATCTCAAGTCAGAACTAAAAATATTACTTGAAAATTGGATGTCTTAAGCGAAGCTTTTATGTTTCATTTTGTTTTGTTTTATCCTCAAGTTGATAATATAACCTGCAACTGCATGAATTCGTGTACAGTTTAATGTGATTGCTCATCTGCAAAATTAAAACTTGAAGCAAAGTCTAGGTTGGCTGTCTTCCAAGTAGTTTCTTGTCTTCAGCGAAATCATAATTTTCACCATTTATATCAGGATCTTCTGACTTATGAGGTCATAAAATTTCTGCTATGCCAAACGCAGTTTTCTCTTGGACTTTGTGTTTCCCTTTAATCTGCCATGTAAATTACAGGCATGGTGTCATTGGAAGACCTTGTTATCTTTTAGCACATTGCTACTTTAGACCAGTGAAGCTAACTTGTTCCTTCACAATTAAAAATATGAAGAACAAAAAAAGTATTTGTGTAATAATTTATAGTTTCAAAATGCTTTTATCTGCAGGATGCTCCTTGATCTTACACAACCCTTTGAAAAAGAGAAAGCTAATAATTTTGTCCCTACTTAAACTTTGTGGGCTCCTAAGAGTAAAGGTCTCATTCATTCATTTAAAAAACTGGATTCAGCTGGGAAGATATATTCATACCAGATAAATCAATAGAGGAAATTTAATATGGATAATTTAATATGATGATTACAATTAGATAAAATAGCTCAAAAAAACAGGCAGGGGAGGGTGAGGCAAACTTAAGGTTAACCACCAACAGAAGCTGCCTACCTGCTTAGAGCTGGAGGGACAAAGAGAAAAGTGGGGCTCCTGGATCCCAAGAAGCTGAGGTACCTTGTTAGATGAGCGCCTCCCACTCACCCAACCTAGCTGGAAGCCTAAAAGCCAGGGAGCCAAGAAAACATAGCTTCAGTGTACCACCATAGGGTATTACAAGCGAAAGAAGGGAAGTGTAGGTAATAAACCTCAGTTCAAATGTGCCAATCATGTTGTGCCAGGTATACTCTTTTTTTTATTTTATTTTTATTATACTTTAAGTTTTAGGGTACATGTGCACAATGTGCAGGTTTGTTACATATGTATACATGTGCCATGTTGGTGTGCTGCACCCATTAACTCGTCATTTAGCATTAGGTATATCTCCTAATGCTATCCCTCCCCCCTCCCCCCACCCCACAACAGTCCCTGGTGTGTGATGTTCCCCTTCCTGTGTCCATGTGTTCTCTTTGTTCAATTCCCACCTATGAGTGAGAACATGTGGTGTTTGGTTTTTTTGTCCTTGTGATAGTTTGCTGAGAATGATGGTTTCCAGCGTCATCTATGTCCCTACAAAGGACATGAACTCATCATTTTTTATGGCTGCATAGTATTCCATGGTGTATATGTGCCACATTTTCTTAATCCAGTCTATCATTGTTGGACATTTGAGTTGGTTCCAAGTCTTTGCTATTGTGAATAGTGCCGCAATAAACATACATGTGCATGTGTCTTTATAGCTGCATGATTTATAATCCTTTGTGTATATACCCAGAAATGGGATGGCTGGGTCAAATGATATTTCTAGTTCTAGATCCCTGAGGAATCGCCACACTGACTTCCACAATGGTTGAACTAGTTTACAGTCCCACCAACAGTGCAGAAGTGTTCCTATTTCTCCACATCCTCTCCAGCACCTGTTGTTTCCTGTCTTTTTAATGATCTCCACTCTAACTGGTGTGAGATGGTATTTCATTGTGGTTTTGATTTGCATTTCTCTGATGGCCAGTGATGATGAGCATTTTTTCATGTGTTTTTTGGCTGCATAAATGTCTTCTTTTGAGAAGTGTCTGTTCATATCCTTCGCCCACTTTTTGATGGGGTTGTTTGTTTTTTTTCTTGTAAATTTGTTTGAGTTCATTGTAGATTCTGGATATTAGCCCTTTGTCAGATGAGTAAGTATACTCATTTTTATAGACATACCAAGTGATAACATATGAAATGAGATGAAATGAACGTTAACTCCGCTGTGGAAAAATTGTCATTTTTAAAGAGGTGACCATCATGTAAACAACAACCACTGCCATTATTGCCGCTGCTAATGCTTAGATTTACTACCAGCTAATATTTATGGAGTAATAATTATATGGCAGGAACTGTAATACATTGTTTAAATATAGTTTATTATTTAACCCTCTGAGTCCGGTTTGTTACTCCTATTTTACAGATGATAAAATTGAGACTTTTAAAACTTAAGTATAGTGCCCACGGTGACAAGGTTGAACAGCCAAGATTCTGATATAGACCATCTGTCTCTAAAACCATGCTCCTAACACTGCCCTATATTGCCTCCCTAAATATATATATATATATAACATACATATATATAATATATATATAATATACATATAATTAATTCTAAAACTTACATGTATATATGTAAGTTTTAGAATTAATTATATGTCTAGGCTATACTGCAGTAGCCAATTCCTTCCAGGGAAAGGGGAAACTATAGAAGAGACAACACTACCCTCAAGTTGAACTTGAAATATGAGACTCTCTCTAGGTAAACAAAAAGACAAGGGCATAAGGGCAGAATATCAGTATCAACACTGTATGTTATTTTCTAAGAGCTTGGGAAGCGTGGCTATCTAGCTGAAGGTAATTCAGATCTGTTGGAGGGATAGTATGGGAGGGGGAATTTTCATAAGAGAAAAGCCTAGGAAGACAATCAGAAGGCACATCATAGTCAAGAGATATAAATAATTCACACTCAAGAAAATGGGAAGCTGTTGATGATGGTGTGCTATGGAGAGTCCTAATCAGTTTTGTTTTTGAAATAATACCCAACCTGCAGAATTAGGTCACTATTATGACATGTTTGTAGAGTGCATGATCATTGTTTAGGAAACTGGATGAATGCCAGAAGGATGCCCTGAAAAAATGGATGGGAGTTTAAATGTTACCTTCGTGTAGTAGATGTACCATCAGCTGCATCTGACCTCTTACTATTCTTTAACTTCTCAGTTACTGCAAATCAGTGTTCTTAATAAGAGACTGGAGATATTTGAGAGGAAGATTTTTCTATAAATGCTTGATTGGAGCCCTTTATTCATTTGGCTCAAAATTAAGACAATGATATCTGAATAAATGTAGTTCTATAATTATATACTTTATTATAAAACTTTCACATATATTTTCACATATGATACTCAAATAACCTTATGAATTTAGTAGCATAGCTGTTTTTTGCTACAATTTGAATATGAGAAAAGAGAGCAGTAGAAAGGTGAAACTGTTGCCGTAAGTCTACTAAATGGCAGAGCCAAGACCTCAAGTGGGCCTCTTGTGCAAACCACTGTTACTTTTACACTTGATTTAGCCAAAAGGCTGAGAAGCGATACCAGTGTTACTTTTTTCTATGCTCACATATCACCTTGATCTGAGACAAATTATCTCTCATTGTTTTGTCACAATTATGTGATATACTTTTATTTAAAGAATTAAACTGCTATATAATTCCTATTCAAATTTTCTATATGCTATTATATTTTCCTTGTATATCTACATACTCTTTTATTACTTCACAGTATAAACTTTCTCATGTATATACTTTTTTTCACTAGCAATTGTCTACATCTCAAAAATTTCACCTGTCAAGTGTATAAATTTCCTCAGTAAATAAAAAGCTGCTGAATATTTTTATATGAGCTTTAAACTTAGCTTCACCTTGTTTCCATTATGCTGCAAGGTGCTTTAAAGGTAGAAATGCATTTCTGGTCTGCTCACAAACAGATGAAAAATTATTTTCCTGCCTTCTTTGATTTTACTTTCTCGTATGCACTCATTTGAGTTATATCTCATCTGTGTTAAAATGGAGGTAGCTGTATATCAGCAAAGTAGAAAGAATTCTTGATACTAAAGTAGTACATTTCCTTGCCTTGTTTTCTTTTCCTTCATAGAGTTTAGTAGTGTTCATTTTATTTATTTGAATGTCAAAATTCTCAGATTACTGCCAAATATTGTGATTATAGCAGTTTAGGTGAATAAAAACAAGTAATGGCTGAATTTAATTATGGATAATAACCATATGAGAAAGGGATGAAAGAACCCCTGAATCTCCTAGAGCTTCATCATCACTATTTATTTTGCAAAATAATTATTTAGAATTAATGAGCTTATATCAGAATTGATGTATGACTGATTTTACTTTATTTTTTAAAATTTTATTATTATTGTACTTTAAGTTTTAGGGTACATGTGCACAACGTGCAGGTTTGTTACATATGTATGCATGGGCCATGTCGGTGTGCTGCACCCATTAACTCGTCATTTAGCATTAGATATATCTCCTAATGCTATCCCTCCCCCCTCCCCCCACCCCACAACAGTCCCTGGTGTGTGATGTTCCCCTTCCTATGTCCATGTGTTCTCTTTGTTCAATTCCCACCTATGAGTGAGAACATGCGGTGTTTGGTTTTTTGTCCTTGTGATAGTTTGCTGAGAATGATGGTTTCCAGCTTCATCCATGTCCCTACAAAGGACATGAACTCATCATTTTTTATGGCTGCATAGTATTCCATGGTGTATATGTGCCACATTTTGTTAATCCAGTCTATCGTTGTTGGACATTTGAGTTGGTTCCAAGTCTTTGCTATTGTGAATAGTGCCGCTATAAACATACATATGCATGTGTCTTTATAGGCACATAATTTATAATCCTTTGTGTATATACACAGTAATGGGATGGCTGGGTCAAATGCTATTTCTAGTTCTAGATCCCTGAGAAATCGCCACACCAACTTCCACAATGGTTGAAATGGTTTACAGTCCCACCAACAGCATAAAAGTGTTCCTATATCTCTACATCCTCTCCAGCACCTGTTGTTTCCTGACTTTTTAATGATCGCCATTCTAACTGGTGTGAGATGGTATCTCATTGTGATTTTGATTTGCATTTCTCTGATGGCCAGTGATGATGAGCATTTTTTCATGTGTTTTTTGGCTGCATAAATGTCTTCTTTTGAGAAGTGTCTGTTCATATCCTTTGCCCACTTTTTGATGGGGTTGTTTTTTTCTTGTAAATTTGTTTGAGTTCATTGTAGATTCTGGATATTAGCCCGTTGTCAGATGAGTAGGTTGCAAAAATTTTCTCCGATTCTGTAGGTTGCCTGTTCACTCTAATGGTAGTTTCTTTTGCTGTGCAGAAGCTCTTTAGTTTAATTAGATCCCATTTGTCAATTTTCGCTTTTGTTGCCATTGCTTTTGGTGTTTTAGACATGAAGTCCTTGCCCATGCCTATGTCCTGAATGGTATTGCCTAGGTTTTTTTCTAGGGTTTTTATGGTTTGAGGTCTAACATTTAAGTCTTTAATCCATCTTGAATTAATTTTTGTATAAGGTGTAAAGAAGGGATCCAGTTTCAGCTTTCTACATATGGCTAGCCAGTTTTCCCAGCACCATTTATTAAATAGGGAATCCTTTCCCCATTTCTTGTTTTTGTCAGGTTTGTCAAAGATCAGATAGTTGTAGATATGCAGCGTTATTTCTGAGGGCTCTGTTCTGTTCCATTGGTCTATATCTCTGTTTTGGTACCAGTACCATGCTGTTTTGGTTACTGTAGCCTTGTAGTATAGTTTGAATTCAGGTAGCATGATGCCTCCAGCTTTGTTCTTTTGGCTTAGGATTGACTTGGTGATGCAGGCTCTTTTTTGGTTCCATATGAACTTTAAAGTAGTTTTTTCCAATTCTGTGAAGAAAGTCATTGGTAGCTTGATGGGGATGGCATTGAATCTATAAATTACCTTGGGCAGTATGGCCATTTTCACGATATTGATTCTTCCTACCCATGAGCATGGAATTTTCTTCCATTTGTTTGTATCCTCTTTTATTTCATTGAGCAGTGGTTTGTAGTTCTCCTTGAAGAGGTTCTTCACATCCCTTGTAAGTTGGATTCCTAGGTATTTTATTCTCTTTGAGGCAATTGTGAATGGGCGTTCACTCATGATTTGGCTCTCTGTTTGTCTGTTATTGATGTATAAGAATGCTTGTGATTTTTGCACATTGATTTTGTATCCTGAGACTTTGCTGAAGTTCTTATCAGCTTGAGGAGATTTTGGGCTGAGATGATGGCGTTTTCTAGATATACAATCATGTAATCTGCAAACAGGGACAATTTGACTTCCTCTTTTCCTAATTGAATACCCTTTATTTCCTTCTCCTGCATGATTGCCCTGGCCAGAACTTCCAACACTATGTTGAATAGGAGTGGTGAGAGAGGGCATCCCTGTCTTGTGCCAGTTTTCAAAGGGAATGCTTCCAGTTTTTGCCCATTCAGTATGATATTGGCTGTGGGTTTGTCATAGATCGCTCTTATTATTTTGAGATACATCTCATCAATACCTAATTGATTGAGGGTTTTTAGCATGAAGCGTTGTTGAATTTTGTCACAGGCCTTTTCTGCATCTATTGAGATAATCATGTGTTTTTTGTCTTTAGTTCTGTTTATGTGTTGGATTACATTTATTGATTTGCGTATTTTGAACCAGCCTTGCATCCCAGGGATGAAGCCCACTTAATCATGGTGGATAAGCTTTTTGATGTGCTGCCGGATTCGGTTTGCCAGTATTTTACTGAGGATTTTTGCATCGATGTTCATCAAGAATATTGGTCTAAAATTCTGTTTTTTGGTTGTGTCTCTGCCAGTCTTTGGTATCAGGATGATGCTGGCCTCATAAAATGAGTTAGGGAGGATTCCCTCTTTTTCTATTGATTGGAATAGTTTCAGAAAGAATGCTACCAGCTCCTATTTGTACCTCTGGTAGAAATCGGCTGTGAATCCATCTGGTCCTGGACTTTTTTTGGTTGGTAAGCTATTGATTATTGCCTCAATTTCAGAGCCTGTTATTGGTCTATTCAGAGATTCAACTTCTTCCTGGTTTAGTCTTGGGAGGATATATGTGTGGAGGAATTTATCCATTTCCTCTAGATTTTCTAGTTTATTTGCATAGAGGTGTTTATAGTATTCTCTGATGGTAGTTTGTATTTCTGTGGGATTGGTGGTGATATCCCCTTTATCATTTTTTATTGCGTCTATTTGATTTTTCTCTCTTTTCTTCTTTATTAGTCTTGCCAGCAGTCTATCAATTTTGTTGATCTTTTCAAAAAACCAGCTCCTGGATTCATTAATTTTTTGAAGGGTTTTTTGTGTCTCTATTTCCTTCGGTTCTGCTCTGATCTTAATTATTTCTTGCCTTCTGCTAGCTTTTGAATGTGTTTGCTCTTGCTTTTCTAGTTCTTTTAATTGTGATGTTAGGGTGTCAATTTTAGATCTTTCCTGCTTTCTCTTGTGGGCATTTAGTGCTATAAATTTCCTTCTTCACACAGCTTTGAATGTGTCCCAGAGATTCTGGTATGTTGTGTCTTTGTTCTCGTTGGTTTCAAAGAACATCTTTATTTCTGCCTTCATTTCATTATTTACTCAGTAGTCATTCAGGAACAGGTTGTTGAGTTTCCATGTAGTTGAGCAGTTTTGAGTGAGTTTCTTAATCCTGAGTTCTAGTTTGATTGCACTGTGGTCTGAGAGACAGTTTGTTATAATTTCTGTTCTTTTACATTTCCTGAGGAGTGCTTTACTCCAACTATGTGGTCCGTTTTGGAGTAGGTGTGGTGTGGTGCCGAAAAGAATGTATATTCTGTTGATTTGGGGTGGAGAGTTCTAGAGATGTCTATTAGGTCCGCTTGGCGCAGAGCTGAGTTCAATTCCTGGGTATCCTTGTTAACTTTCTGTCTCTTTGATCTGTCTAACGTTGACAATGGGGTGTTAAAGTCTCCCATTATTAATGTGTGGGAGTCTAAGTCTCTTTGTAGGTCACTAAGGACTTGCTTTATGAATCTGGGTGCTCCTGTATTGGGTGCATATACATATAGGATAGTTAGCTCTTCTTGTTGAATTGATCCCTTTACCATTATGTAATGGCCTTCTTTGTCTCTTTTGAACTTTGTTGGTTTAAAGTCTGTTTTAGCAGAGACTGGGATTGCAAACCCTGCCTTTTTTTGTTTTCCATTTGCTTGGTAGATCTTCCTCCATCCCTTTATTTTGAGCCTATGTGTGTCTCTGCACGTGAGATGGGTTTCCTGAATACAGCACACTGATGGGTCTTGACTCTTTATCCAATTTGCCAGTCTGTGTCTTTTAATTGGAGCATTTAGCCCATTTACATTTAAAGTTAATATTGTTATGTGTGAATTTGATCCTGTCATTATGATGTTAGCTGGTTATTTTGCTCGTTAGTTGATGCAGTTTCTTCCTAGCCTTGATGGTCTTTACAATTTGGCATGTTTTTGCAGTGGCTGGTACCAGTTGATCCTTTCCATGTTTAGTGCTTCCTTCAGGAGCTCTTTTAGGGCAGGCCTGGTGGTGACAAAATCTCTCAGCATTTGCTTGTCTGTAAAGTATTTTATTTCTCCTTCACTTATGAAGCTTAGTTTGGCTAGATATGAAATTCTGGGTTGAAAATTCTTTTCTTTAAGAATGTTGAATATTGGTCCCCACACTCTTCTGGCTTGTAGAGTTTCTGCGGAGAGATCAGCTGTTAGTCTGATGAGCTTCCCTTTGTGGGTAATCCGACCTTTCTCTCTGGCTGCCCTTAACATTTTTTCCTTCATTTCAACTGGTGAATCTGACAATTATGTGTCTTTGAGTTGCTCTTCTCGATGAGTATCTTTGTGGCATTCTCTGTATTTTCTGAATCTGAATGTTGGCCTGCCTTGCTAGATTGGGGAAGTTCTCCTGGATAATATCCTGCAGAGTGTTTTCCAACTTGGTTCCATTCTCCCCATCACTTTCAGGTACACCAATCAGACATAGATTTGGTCTTTTCACATAGTCCCATATTTCTTGGAGGCTTTGTTCATTTCTTTTTATTCTTGTTTCTCTAAACTTCTCTTCTCGCTGCATTTCATTAATTTCGTCTTCCATTGCTGATACCCTTTCTTCCAGTTGATCGCATCGGCTATTGAGGCTTCTGCATTTGTCACGTAGCTCTTATGCCTTGGTTTTCAGCTCCATCAGGTCCTTTAAGGACTTCTCTGCATTGGTTATTCTAGTTATCTGGTCGTCTAATTTTTTTTCAAAGCTTTTAACTTCTTTGCCATTCATTCGAATTTCCTCCTGTAGCTCAGAGTAGTTTGATCATCTGAAGCCTTCTTCTCTCAACTTGTCAAAGTCATTTTCCTTATCACCAGGGTATCCTTGTTTCTGCCCAACAGAGACAAAATTGCTAGCACAGCGTCCGAGATCAAACTGCAAGGCAGCAGGGAGGCTGGGGGAGGGGTGCCCGCCATTGTTGAGTTAGTTGTTTGTTTAGGTAAACAAAGTGGCCTAATCAAGGAGGCCTGCCTGCCTCTGTAGGCTCCACCTCTGGGGGCAGTTCACAGACAAACAAAAAGACAGCACTAACCTCTGCAGACTTAAATGTCCCTCTCTGACAGCTTTGAAGAGAGTGGTGGTTCTCCCAGCACGCAGCTTGAGATCTGAGAACGGGCAGACTGCCTCCTCAAGTGGGTCCCTGACCCCCGAGTAGCCTAACTGGGAGGCACCCCCGAGTAGGGGCAGACTGACACCTCACATGGCCAGGTACTCCTCTGAGACAAAACTTCCAGAGGAACGATCAGGCAGCAGCATCTGCGGTTCACCAATATCTGCTGTTCTGCAGCCACCACTGCAGATACCCAGGTAAACAGGGTCTGGAGTGGACCTCTAGCAAACTCCAACAGACCTGCAGCTGAGGATCCTGTCTGTTAGAAGGAAAACTAACAAACAGAAAGGACATCCACACCAAAAACCCATCTGTACGTCACCATCATCAAAGACCAATGGTAGATAAAACCACAAAGATGGGAAAAAAACAGAGCAGAAAAACCGGAAACTCTAAAAATCAGAGTGCCTCTCCTCCTCCAAAGGAACGCAGCTCCTCACCATTTATGACTGATTTTTAAAATATCTTATATTGCCACTGTGCCCGTAATTTCAGCTACTTGGGAGACTGAGGAGAGGATCGCTTGAGGCCGGGAGTTTGAGACCATCCTGGGCAGCACAGTGAGACCACATCTCTTAAAAAAAAAAAAAAAAAGTCTTGTATCTTTAAGTGACAAATTACATACTTAAGTGACAAGTATCCTTAAAACAACTTATGTCTTTACCTTCTGAGTTTCCTTAGCAATATCTTTCTCTAACTTATCAGTAGGGTTTTATTCAGAAAAAAATGTTAAAATTATCAGTATAATCATTCTAAAGGTAATATTCATTTATGTCCTCTCACACCTGTGCCCATATGCACGTAATTACAGAGTGATTCATGACCATGCAAGTGAATATTAGAAAATGTTGCTTTTAAAACAAGTATAAAAGTGTGTGTTCATACAATATAGGTATATGCTACATAAGTATAATAACTATATGCATTATAGAAGTGTGAAGAAAATTAGTGGAACGTTTCTTTTATTGCTTTTTATTTTTGCTCTTTTTCTTGTTGTTTCTGTGGAACTTGACTGTTTAGGAAAATTCAATTTCCTCCTGGGAAAAAAAAATTCGGTGCTGGTTATTGCAGAGACACTGCAGATTGTCTTAATCGGCAAACTAGAACTTCACTTCTAACTGTGTAATTTTAACTTTCAATGGTTTGCTGACTTTGAAGGAGGAAACTATGCCTCATTTGCCATATATGTAAAAGTGTGACCACATCTTCACCCTCTAAAAAGATCTTCTTGAAGATAAATTAAAATATAATCCACAAGAGATGTTGATGAGCAAGGTAAAGGTATTATTCAAATTATGTATTTGAAATTATATTATGTTTAAATAAAGTAAATTAAAAATCAGTTCAATGTGACAATATAGAACATTTTGGCCAAGCCAAAAATATAATAATGGTTGTAGGCAAATCTAAGTTGTGGCTTGGCAAGCATGAAAAGACAAGTTCTAGGGATGAAATCAGAGTCCAAAATCTATGAAGGTTAATGCAGGATTGAACAAGTGGTCAGCCAGGGCAGTGTCAGTATAACCTGTAGTTTATCCAGAGAAAAAATCTTTGTTAAGAAAAAAATTGGTAAAAAGATGGAGATTGCTTTCCTCTTTTTACCATCTCTATGTTTTAGAATCTTGACTAGAACAGTTAAAATACAGTGCTCCTACACCAGGTTTCTCTATAGATTGTTTTACTCACAAATTTCAAAAGCTAACTGTATTTGTGAGAATGACTGATGAATTCTGCAATTCATAAAGAAGTCTAGGTATAGACATCTTTAATGGTCAGGAATCCACTTGTGTCTTCCTCACTGAGGAACTAGCATGACACTAACCTAAAAGTAGAAAAGTCAAACCGAACAGTAGAGAAGTCATCTGGTTAAAGATTCTAACAAGCATTTAGCATTGCTCCTGTCCTATGAGCATTAATGCTTGGCCTTGTTTCAGGGCCATTATTGCTAAATAACAGTAGGTACTTAGTTTCTTGCTTAAGAGGCCTTTAAATTCTGAGTAAGGCCTTGGTTTTCCTTCTCTTACAAGTGCTTGTGGCCCTATGACTCTGCAGGCTTCCCTGTCTCTGAGCTGAATTCCTTCATGTTGGTATTTGTGTTGTCCTGGAACATACTTCAGGAACATATTTCCTCCTTCAATCTACAATCTATTTACTCTGCACTATCAGCATTTCCTTTCACTGTCAAGAGATGTGGCATTTTCAATCCTATTTGTAAAAACCAGTTGTTTTAATATACGGAGTCTAAATTGTAATTTTGTCTCTGTTGGGCAGAAACAAGGATACCCTGGTGATACTTATTTTTTATCAACAGTAAACAGCCTTCCCGCCGATGTCCCCAACTCTTATACTTCAGATACTGGAGCAAATGTCCAGGATTACTCCATGGACACTGTGTAATATTTACATGATCTACAGTCTCAGCAAAGTTAACCCCTGGTCATACACAGTTGTTTAACTTCAGGAAGCATATTTCTGGCCATTTTTGATAGCTACTTCATTTTACTGTTTGTTTGTCTGTTTTTTCGGCACTTCCTGTCATCAAGCATTCAGAATTATTTCTGGTACTTTTTTTTTCATTTTCTTTATGTCAGGGAATTAAAATGTTTAGCTTTTTGATTCAGTTTGCGATCCTGATAAACCTAGGGCAAGACATTGCAGGCACATAATTGTAACTAAGTAGACTGAAATAGCACAAGTTCGTGTACATGTCCTGTAAACTGTTCGTGCATCTCAGGGTTACGCTGGCATATTAATTCCACCTTTGTAAGTTCATATCTAGATTTTCACCTTTAAAATATTCTGCTTGTTACTGTAACTTAACAAACCAACAGATCACACATTTTGTCCATGTACTCAATGCTTTACCAAGTAATGCTATTCTACATCTTTTGTATTCTTCCTGTGTGTGCATGTGTGTATGTGTATTACACATATTATTTATAGCTACAGATCATATCTTTATATCCTTTCTAGTGTGAATTATTTTGTCTTTGTGGATGAACTTGTTTTTATGACATTCATAATTTTCTTCAAGGTTATATTCTATAATGTATCTATTTATTATTATTATTTTTTAAGACGAGTCTCACTTTGTCACCTAGGCTAGAGTGCAGTGGCACGATCTCAGCTCACTGCAACCTCTGCCTCCTGGGTTTAAGTGATTCTCCTGCTTCAGCCTCTCAAGTAGCTGGAAATACAGGCGCGTGCCACCATGCTCGGCTAATTTTTTTATTTTTAATAGAGACAGGGTTTACCCCTGTTGGCCAGATTGGTCTCAAACTCCTGACCTCATATGATCTGGCTGCCTGCTCCTCCCAAAATACTGGGATTACAGGCATAAGCCACCACGCCCAGCGTATATTTAAAATTTTTAATTGGATAAAATTATCACCCCATTTACAGATTATATAAGTTACAAACTCAGTCATCATTGAAGCATTTTTTGTATTAAATCTGCAAACTGTATATATTTAACATATTATTTATTACCCTTACATCTGTGACAAAAAGAGACTTTCCACTGCTGCTTTCTCAAGATGCATGTAAAGCTGTCTCATTAGAACTCTAAATGTTAAAAATTTCCTGTGCAATTTTGGACTTGTATGTGTGAAGCAGTATTTCAGCTCAAATATGTGCTTTCATACTGTCTATAATATAACCAAATCAACATTGGAGCTCGTAGTAAATAAATTGCTTATGTATATTAGCACATTTTATGTATCCCTTAAAATTTGGAAATGATACAAAGCTATAGCCAGAGCAATCATGTAAATCCAAATATAATCCTTTATAGGGAGAGCCATGTGATGTTAAGCTCTTCTTAATATTTTGAATATATATATATATAAAATACACACTTTACATATATGCATATATACATAATTCATACTAGTCTCTAAATGCAGAAAAATAAAATATAAGAATTATTAAAGCTATGGAATCAATTTGAAATGCAAGCCAATTCATTTTGCTCTTCTGCGATCTGAGATGAAACTGGGGGAAGAAATTTATGCTGTGGTAATAACTGTAACATATTGAGCTTATATTATATACCACTTTATATGCCTACCTAGTTAATATTCACAACAACCCTTTGAAGTATTATTGTTATTCCCACTTTACATATAAAGGAATTAAGTAATTTACCCAAGATATGACAATTACCACCTTTACAATCTGGTACTCTATTTTAGTTGCTTTATTCCCTTTGTAGTTTCAAAGGAAATTAGAGTTACAGTATAATAGACAGAATCAGGGTTTTGAAATTAATCTTTTCTGAGAGATTGGTATGCAGAAAGGATTTTGGAAGTATTTGACTTATGTCACTTATATCCAGTCTGATCTTGTCCTGTATATGACTATTTACTGTGGTCAGTTTAAAAGTTTCAGTACCAGGCAAAGGTGGAGTCCTAAGATGGCAAAACACTCTATTTCCTCCTGCAATCTGCATAGATAAATCAGAGTATTTTTGATGAATTTACTGGAGAAGTTCTATATAAATTTTTATAAATACTATTATTTTTAACCATAATTGTTTTTGCCAATTTTGAGATGATCTAAAATACACACTAATGCCATATATACACAGGAGAGCCCAAGTAATGAGGCTTTTAATTAAAACTTACATTAAAGTGAAAGTGAGCACATACATAGCATTTAGGAATCCATGTCCCCAGCAGTCCATGTGGTCAGTGATATTAGCTATGTGCTGGCATTTCATGTATATGTCACTGGAAACTTATCACTTTAATAATCACAAATCTTCAGTCTTGTAATTAGTGTCTGGCATTTCTAAAAAAAAAGAAGAAAAAATAGAAAATTAAAGTTATCTTTGATAAACTATAGGTAAATGAAATTATTCTAAAGAAAAACTGTATCTTGAAATAAAAGAAAATATGTATTATAGAAAAGCACAGAAATCTCAGACAAAAGTGATCTTTTCCTTTTAAATAAAGATTGATTACACATTCAGGAAGCTAAAGGTTACTATGAAAAACACAGGAACAATTGCAGATTTCTCCTTAACATAATCAGATGCAAGTGTACAGTGATAAAAATGCAAATCTTAAGGTGCTCTTAGCTGCTAGAGGTCAAATCAATGTTTTTCCTCAAATCAAAACATCAGAATTTTCCCTCAGTCAAGTTTTAATTTTTAAAAGTTGAATATTTATGGGGACTCTAAAAGCAGAAATTGTCAGAAGTCTTTGAAAAAAGGTTAAGCTAAGTAAGAAGTAAACACCGAATGTTCATGAATGGGATTGAAGGTCACCTTGAATTTAAAATGCAAAGCATCCTGAGGAGGAAGTTTGTACTTTTGTCAGATTTTGAACAAAGGCCACAATTTCTTAATAATTATTTCCCTAGAACAGCATTTGTTTCATTTTAAAAAGTTTTTTAAAATCTGTCTATGAGCTTGACTGGCTTGCAGACTTCATACTTACTGTGTCTTAATGATTTTATATATAAATTCATGGAATCTTAGACTCGTAAAATTTCAGGTTCCAGCTTTGTGAATCTTTTCTGTTTTGCTGCAAAATAAATGATAACCCTGTGCTTAAGAATCATTGATGTGAAAGAACAAAAAAAGCTTTAGAACCAAGTATATTTTAGTTCAAATATTTCTCTGCAACTTGGTTTTTGAATTTCATCCTTTGCCTGTAACAAAGAAATTAGTACATCACAGAAATGTATTGAATTATATGAAAATAATATATATCTATAAACCACCTGGCATCTAGATCGAGCTCTATATTGATCCAAAGTATTCCATTCTGTGTTTTACCACTTTATCAACATATTTTTTTATATACTGTACTGACTGGAATCTGCCTAAATGTCATTTTTTCTCCAGTGGTTCTATTTTGAAGCCTTGTATTAATATATTATATGTCTAAACCCTCTTCTACCTAACAATTTCTCCATTCTTTCTGAATATTCTGGGGTTACAAGTATCCTCATTATCTTTGTCATTCTTTTGAGATATTCACATTTTATGCCAGAGTCTCTATAGTCATTCTGCCACCAGTCTTTCGAAGTGATTTCTGACAATTTACTATTTTGTCTCAAAACTTCAGTTAAAGCACTTTCTGAATACAGATCTTCTAGGAATATGTTTGCCCATCTTTGAGGTTCACTGCCTAGGTCTCTGTTATCTTGGTGACAGTGCTAAAATTATGACCCAAGTTCCGAAATCTGTGCAATGCAATGTTTGCTTCTAAAACTTCTGGTGCAATCAGTCCGGGAACTGTAACAACTTAGGCACAATTCTTTCTGGAAATGAAATAAAATAGAATGAGTTTGGCAGACCACAGGTTGAAACTTCTTAGGCGCCTATTGATAAGTAGCCTTTGTGGAGGAAAATGTCAGTATAGGAGAAAAAGACTAAAAGACTCAGGTATACTTGTCTCTGTGTTGTATATCCTACTTTGCAAAATGAAAGGAAGAGAATCTCAGAGGTCCTGGTAAAGCTATTTGAAAATGCTTCCAGAGACATGAAGTGTATTTGTTTTCCTAATTTCCTAAGGATTAGTGGTGGTGGGAGAGGGCATTCTATGGTTAAAATGTCTACATTTCCTTATCACAAGGCATAGCTAGCAGCAAAAGTAAGCCATGACACGGAACTGAAGGAGCCATGATGAAAATTCCTTCTGTTTTTCATCCCTGTATTCATTCATTCTGCACCCATGCTTTAAGTACCTTGCGTGGGTCAATCACGCTGATAGTAGCTTCTGGTTCAGAGAAGAGGAGAACACGACTCCTGCCCCCTAGCAGTTCACTGCCCAGTGAGAGGAGACAAACAAATGATCTGTGGACAACAAACCACATGCAGAAATATTTAATTCTGTCTAGGACAGTAAGAGAAAGCTTTTTTGGAATTTGTTTTATTTGAGTCTCAGCAGGTAAAGAATGGAGACAGGATAAGGCATTTGAAGCCAAAAAAAAAAAAAGGATGTACTTGAAGAAGGTAGAGAGAGAGATGCTGGCACACCTTGAAACCTGTCCGCCATCCAGCCCAGGTGGAGGGCAGGGCACTTAATCCTAGTAGCAGCATCTTTGGAAAGTAGGGAAGTCCAGAGTCATTTTTCCATCTTACAGAAGAGAGAGTGGAGGTTCAGAGTACTTAAGGGTTAGGCCTGGAAGCTCCTATTTAAGGAGCTAAATCACTGACCTTGAACTGAAGGCTTCCAGCTTCTGGTCTAGGGATTTAACCACCTCACCAAATGCTTCTTTTTTCTTTGGCTATGTAGAGACAAAAAGAGACAAGACGTCATCCCCTTCATTAAGTCCTCTCCTCAGATTTTTATTTTTCTTTTTTCTCCTCAGATTTTTATTTTTCAAAAGTCATGTGTGGTTTTACCTTTGTTGGACAGTAGATCTTAAGTAGGGAAACTAAAACCATATAATAATTCTTTTGCTTTATTAGTAAATCATGTTAAAGTATTTCAGTTTGACTCGTTCTAACTAGTTACCAATGAATATAGCTGTGGGCATTTTCTATTCTTGTCATGCTTTCATTCCTCCAACTTATACTTTTTTATTGTGACACTCCTATTGTTCAAATTTCTAATTTGAAGGAATTCATTACCAGATGAGTTTTAAAATGAAAGAATATCTTCCTGCTATCCTCTCCTCAGCAATAAAATTATTTTTCAAATCAGAGGATAAAGGACTTAAGTAAAATTTAAAATAAACTTATGAAAACAGTTGGTTTATTGAAAAGCAACTAGCCTATATGTAACATAGTTTATAGAAGTGTATTTTAATTCAGTTTGGCAAATATTCATGTATTCATAAGCCTTCTATGTGCCAAGTCTGTTCTGTATCTTCATTTAAAGTATTAAGAGATGAATAAACACTGTGCCCTTCTTTAAGGAGTTATCAGGTTAGTAGGGGAGTCAAATATGTGAGCTAATGCAATGGAATACTAAATACAGAATGCAACAGTAGAAGCACATTTAAAACGTAAAGCTGTTTGGTTTTCTGTTCTTGTGATAGTTGGGTGTTGAACTATGAGAACACATGGACACAGGGAGGGGAACATCACACAGTGGGGCCTGTCAGGGGGTGGGGGGCTAGACGAGGGATAGCATTAGGAGAAATACCTAATGTAGGTGACAGGTTGATGGGTGCAGCAAACCACCATGGCACATGTATACCTATGTAACAAAACTGCACGTTCTGCACGTGTACCCCAGAACTTAAAGTATAGTAAGAACAAAACATAGAGATGACACTGAAGAGACAGTGACTCAGTCTGGAGAGTAAAGAAATGTTTTCTGAAGAAGGAAATGTCAAAGCTGTGACTGCAAAGGAGTTTTCCAGAAGAAGCAAGTTAGTGGGTTCAGGCTACTCACAGTAAAAATACATTGAGGGGGACATGCCGTGGATCTCCCAGAAAAGCTGAAGTCCTTCAACCATATTATAGAAGCTTCACGAGTGAAAGGACAATGGGCAGAGGTAAGGTTGAGGACCCTGGCAAGGTTATGGGTGAAAAGACAGCAAACTGATTGCTTAGATTTCACCCTCTGGGCTACAGAAGACAGTGAAAGGTTTAAAGGAGGAGAGATATTTGAACAGACTTATATAATAGAAAACATAAATACCTTTTCGTTTAAAGAATAGATTGGTGAATAGAGGGAGGGGAGGGAGTACACATTTAGATAAGGAAGACAAGATAGGAAATAAGTACAAAAAAAAGATAATAAAATATTAAAATACAGATCTGCATACACTCACAAGCATAAACAACATTACACTGTAACAGTGCCATAAGGAAGGGAAGAAAAAGTTATTTAGGAGGGAGAAACACTAAAAGTTATTGGCTCATTGGATTTGAGTAGTGAGAAACACAGAATCTTATATTTCTTCCCAGTTTCATAAAAAGTGGTACCACCTACCATAGCAGGGAATAAAGAAGACAGAAGTTTGGGGAGAAAGAGTTATTCATTCATTCATCAAAAATGTTATTATTTACTATATTCCAATTTTTTTAAGTACTGTGTATACAAAACATAAAACAAGTTCTCTGTTCTTAGATACAAAAATGTTATTATTTACTATATTCCAATTTTTTTAAGTACTGTATCTACAAAACATAAAAAAAAGTTACCTGTCCTTAGGTAGTGTACATTCTATAAAGGAAATCAGATCAGATATAACAAGAACATATAATCTTAGGTGGTGTGAGGTGCTATGGAGAAAACTAAAGCACATGAGGAAATAGATAAAGGCCATGGTTAAAAAAGATCCCTGTGAGAAGGTGATACTTAATTGAAGAAATAAATGATGCAGATGTTCATATGATGATCCGGAAGAAAAATGTTCTAAACAGAGAGAAAAATAACTATGCACACCATGAAATAGGAATAATCTTAGCATGCAGTAGAAAGGGCCAAAGTGTGAAAATAGGGTAGAGGAGTGATAGGAAATGAGTTTCAGAGAGGTAGGAAGTGACCTTGAAATTCCTGTTTTATGCCATTTGAGATGGAAACCCTGATAAGTTTCCTGACTATCAGAGTGACAAAGTCTGATTTATGTTTTTAAAAGATCATGCTGTCTGTTGAGTTTATAGAACCATGTGTAGTAGGTAAGAGTGTACCCAGAGAGACTTGAAAAACCACTGCAGCGGTTTATGAGGGATATCATGGTGTCTTGGACTAGGAAGATAGTGAGGAATTGAAGAGTGGTTAAATTCAGTATATATCTCACTATACAGATGTATAGATTGATTAGTTTCAGTGTACAGAAAAAGAAGAGGCAAGGAGGATTAATAAATTTTGGGCCTGAGCAATTGAAGTATGGGAAGAGCAAAGTTCTGGAGGAATATGGGGAAGAACAAATCAAAAAGTTGTTTTTGGATATCTTATGCTTGTGATACATTTTGGACATTCACATAAAGATGTCTGTCAGATGTGTGTTTGACTGTCTTCCTCTGGAGTTATGAGAGAGTTCAGGCTGGAGCTATGAACCTGGGAATCATCAGCATATATTTAGATGAGATCTCCTAGACTAGAGGAAGACATAAGATGGAGAAGGAGCAGAGAGGTGTTGAGACTGAAGGTATACTACAAAAATATTCAGGACAAGGAGGTCACTAGCAAAGGAGAAGGGGAATAAACTGGAAGAGATTGCAGGGGAAATCCTATCTGTGAATTTCAGTGACATAAATGGTAATAGAAAGAGGGTCAACTATGTTAGTTGCTGCCTAAGGTCGTGTAGGCTAAGTATTGAGATTTTTCTGGGTTTTAAAAATTAACAGCATTCTGCCTCTGAATGAACTAGTTCACAAATTAGGAGTTAAGATGCATACCGATGAAATTGTTATACAAAAATAAAAGCATTAATATTATGACTTAAGACAGGTACAAACAGCTGCTGTGGGAGCACAGAGAAGGAGAGAAGTCTATCTAAATGGGAGGAGGAAGGTAACAAAGAAAGCAGGTAGCCAACTTCAGAGCCAGGGTGCCCTTGAACAAGTAGCTTTGCTTGTACCTTATAAACTGTTTAATATAAAAACTTTATTCTAAGACATAAAAGAAAGAGATTGCATGATCATGAGATGATGTCCAAATTTAATTTCTCCAGCTCCATTGGCCTATGTTTGTAGGCTTAATTAATATGTACAGCATTTATTTCACTGTTCAACCTGCTTGATGCTCATATATATAATGGAAAAACTTAGTCCTCCTCCTCTGTCCTGTGTTGTTTCTAGAAGTTTCAACAACAAACTTTCCTTGAATCTTCTGTTCTTAATAGAAATGTTTCTCTTTCCTACTTAGTGTCATCCTTTACTCTTAGAGGCTGTAAGTATCTCTTTCATTCAGTTTGGGATTACAGCCTCTTTTTCAACAGACTTGAAACCCAGAAAAAAGAGAGTCTCTATCCTGTCCTTTCCATTTTTTAGTTCCCCAACACTTCTTAAATCCCATATCCAGGCTGGGCGCAGTGGCTCATGCCTGTAATCCCAGCACTATGGGAGGCCGAGGTGGGCAGATCACTTGAGGTCAGGAGTTTCAGACCAGCCTGGTCAACATAGCGAAACCCCATCTCTACTAAAAATACAAAAAAATGGCTGGGTGTGGTGGCAGGTGCCTGTAATCCCAGCTTCTTGGGAGGCTGAGGCAAGAGAATCGTTTGAACGCGGGAGGCAGAGGTTACGGTGAGCTGAGATCCTGCCATTGCACTCCAGCCTGGGCAACAAGAGCGAAACTCCATCTAAAAAAATAAAAATAAAAACAAAAATAAAATAAATAATAAATCCTATATCCAGATACCAAGAGCTCAGTGCTCTCCTCTTCCTTATTAAACAAATGGAAACTCCTATGAAATGCATAAATGAAGGCTACTCGTCTCCAGTATGTTCCACTAGCTTGACAAGTATGTACAGACATGGCTGAACTGCAGAAATGGACAAAGCCTAGATTAAACTGACCTCTTTCCCACATAGACTGTGGGACTTATGAGACTTAGAGGAGATTGAAAGCACATAATATTGAAGCTGACCCCAAAAAATTGTATCATAGAACCTTCTGCAACAAAAAAGAAATATTCTAACTCCCTTATTCTTCATTTGAAGAAACTGAAATAATATAATTTCAATGGATACACCCAAGGGCACAGAGCTCAATTTTGTAGAACTCAGACATAAACCCAAGACTCTCAAATCCCAGGCTATTTCCTTTTCCAATAGAGTAAAATAAATGCACATATGCGTGTGTGTGTGTGTGTGTGTGTGTGTGTATGTGTGTGTGTGTACCACAGTAACTGAATTTTGAATACAGTCTAATTCTTTCCATTGAGTAGGTGGATTAATTTTATTATACTCTTGGAAACAAGAGCAGGATTTGAGATGGGAAGCAAACACTATAACATGTTGGCAATATAAAATGTTATATTATAGATATAGAAAGAAAAGTACAATACTAGGCTAATTTATCTTTGTGTTTCCAGTGTAAAGTTTATTCACTGGTGTGATGTAGAAGCAATAGTTTTGACTACACCTGCTTAGAGAATAGGGAACTCAATAAATATTGGTACAGAGTATAAACTCAATATTTAATTTCTGAATATTCATGAATCTTGTGAAGAATAGCATGGTATAACAAACTTCAAAGTGTATGTGTTTACTGAAACAATTGGTCAGTTGAAATGCAAAACCAATTAAGCTAATCACTTGCTTAATGAATCCATTTAAACAGTTGAACTCATGGTCATGTGTAGATAAATTGTGTTAAGTTTTTAGAACTTCTTTATCTACACAATGCCATGGATTCATCATGGGAACCCAAGGAATTAGATTTTCCAGGTAAGTGGTTAGATAAATACAGTCTTCACCAATCCAATCTTGGTTTTGTATTTTTGCCAGTTGTTTTTGTAAACATTCCAATTAATTCAATTCCTTTATTAAAGTTATTAACAACATTCTATTTACAGAATGGATTTCAAACCTCTTCATATGGCATTTAAGGTCCTTGTCATCTACCTCGACTTATCTTTCCAATGTTGTCACTGGCCCCTGTCCCTCATTATCTTTTCTAGCTATATGCTTTGTGTTTCTTGTTTTTAATATTATACTATATACCATATATTGAATAACTACCTCAAATTTCTATTGTCTGTATATATGACACATTTTCTCATCCCTGGACCTTTCTTTAAGTTTATTTATCTTACTGGATTGCCCTTCTAATCCTTCTCTACTGGTTTGATGACTTCTTCAAAGACCCAGATCAAATGTCAACTAATGTAACAATCCAAGAGCTGGGCATGGGCTTCACAATTCATAATTTCTGTATTTACAGGACCCTCCAGGCTATCCACCTGTTCCTTTTCCTCTCCAGAGTTCCATATTTTTTGCATTCTCCAAAGGAGACAATTCAAATCTCACCATTTTTTTCAACCCTCCAATCCTACCACTGTTACCTATAATTCAACAGGCTCACTGAAACCAGCCTGTTAACTGTATAATCTACTCAGTGGAATTGCTCAACCTCCAAATATATCCACGTCTTCACTCCAGCTTTCCTCTCCCACAAAGAAGTATCACCTTACAAATCTTCTACCCATGTTCTTTTCACATTCCCTTCCCAATCTAGACTTTTGCCATATGTTTCTCATACCTTTGACTCTTCTTTTTCACTATCCTCTTCTTGTCAGCCTACAATATACTTGGTTTTATAATTTCCATTTTACATAACATTTTCCAATATTCCTGCCTTTTCCTCAAACCAATGCCATGTTGCTCATTGCTTGCTTTTTATTATCTAAACAAATCTGTGGGTTCGTCAGTTGATGCACATGCCCTTGCTTCATTTCTATTTACCTTCAGTTCAATACATTTAAGTGTTAACTTCCACTGCACTACGGAAATGGTTCTGAAGTCCAAATCGATTATTTTTCTTTGTCTGAATCAATGGTATTTTTATCTTCATTCTCATTATCTTCACTTTTATCCAACATTCAATACCATTGAACATTTGCTCTTTCATGAAATATTGCTCACACTTGATTTTAAGGATATGGATCATCCAGTACCTTCTCCACTTTTTTGACTGATTGCCTGTTTCCTAGGAGCTCAAGGTCTAATTGGAGAATAGATCCAATCATTTCACTCTCTTTGTGAAGTATTCTCAGTAGCTTCCCATTGCCTGTGATAAACTCCATGGCCCTTCACAGTCTTAATAGAATCCAACTTTTGCATAACTTTTGTAGTAACTACACCAGAAGGCCTTCAAAATGTCATGCACATTTATACCTTCGGGCCTTGGATTATGCTGTTGCCCTCTGTCTGTAATGCTTTTTTACACTTTTCATCTTGAGAAAGTCATGCTTATCCTGCAAATTATCTCCCAAATGTCAATCTGCTGTGTCATTTGCTTTCCCTAATTGTGACATGGAGAATTAGTAACTGCTTCTTGTGTTGCCTTTGCACCTTGTATGTGTCCTATAAGTTTTCAGTAGTACATGCAATGCATTAGAAGTATTTTTTTTAAAAATTCTCTATTTCTTATTACACTACTTGTTCAGTTATGTTAGTCTATATTAATTAATCTTTACATTCACAGTTCTCAGCATATTATAAGTAATCACTAATTATTAATTCATTTGATAAGATTCTGTCCTCCATGAAAGTTCTTTGGTGAGAGAAATTCTGTAATATTTCTCTATCATGTGAACCTGGAAAATAATGAAAGAAATTGAATAAATAATTATTTTTGCAATTTAAATGTTGAATTTGCACTTATGAGGAGAAAAATGTAGACTTTTCTTCTTGTGATTACTAAAACAAAATTAAATATTTAAATCAATATTTAAAATATTACAGTTCTTCAACATTTATTTTATATATCAGATCATTCAAATTCAATTAATGCTTGTTAGAGCTCCATTTTTTCATATTTCATGGTATCTCTGACTTTTCTTTGGTTTCCCACAGTATTTTTTTAATTGTATTTTTATTTATTTATTTATTTTTTTGACAGGGCTTCACTCTGTTACCCGGGCTGGAGTGCAGTGGCATAATCATAGTTGACTGCATCCTCCAACTCCTGGGCTCAAACAATCCTCCCACCTCAGCCTCCGAAGTACTTGGGACAACAGACATGCACCATCATACCCGGCTATTTTATTTTACTTTTTCATGGTAGAGACAAGGTCTCACTAGGCTGCCCAGGCTGGTATCTATCTAATTCCCGGCCTAAAGTGATCCGACTGTCTGCTTTGGCCTCCCAAATTATTGGGATTACAGGTGTGAGCCACTGTGCTCAGCCATTCTAATGTTATTTTAACATATTTAAACCACAGTTCTGAAAATAATGCCATCTTTAGATGAATCTGTACTACAAAGACATTACAAAATATCATGTGAACATTTTATAAGTTCTTAATCTCCCCCAAATATTGATTACTCATCTGGTAGTCCATTACTCTTCTCAGTCTATTTTTACATTATTTACTTTATTGAGCTTCATCCTGCTTAGTGAATAAAATTGAATGGTTCAGTGAGCCCATTATGAGTCGAACTTTGTCTTATTTTACCTTAATCCATAAAAGAATCTCCTATCTCTCAAAGGAAATTCTGGTATTCTTCTGATCCACTTAAGGCTTTTGAGACCAGAGATGAAAGATCCAATATCTACAGCTCTTGAACTGTCAGAGAGGGTGTGTGGAGCCTGCATTCACCAACCAGGTCATACTGTTCAGTTGGCAGGGATGATACTTTATATGGCACATAAGGCTTGCTAATATCCCAGAGCCTACCATAATGGCTGTATGTTATAGGTGTTTATAAATGAATGAACAATACCTATAGTATTTATATGTCACACTTAAACTTATTCCATTATATTTCCTATGTAGTTTTAGGATTATAAGGGTGTTTGCAAATAAATGTTTAATATTTGATACAACACAATGTATTAAAAAGTTAAGATGCATGAATTTTTAACTCCCAAGAATTTATTTTTGTCTTAAAATATATATACAGTCATTATAGCATTGCCTGGAGGCATAACATACCATGTGATTGCACTTGTTAACTTTTAATCTGAATACTGTGGCTCACGTAGTCACAGCCAACATTCTCCCTTTGTAGTCAATAGGGATCTCACTCATTTACCAGATGTTTAGAAATAAACAACTATTGAATGTGTGAAATTCAGGCAAGAAGGTAAATGGTTTGATTAAGATGGTTTGATAATATTTTTAAAATACAAAGCAAACAAGATAAAAACAATAACCTCTAATAATTCCAGAATGTAGTAAGTCACTGAGATTTACTCTTCATGCTCCATTCCAGATAACTTTTATAACACTAAGCTGAAATCTTAACATATCTTACAATTTTGTATTCTGTGTATTCACATATTGCCAGACAGAATTGTCTCAGTTGTTAAAATATTTTAAATTCTTTTTAATGGTTATATAATGGTCTAGAGATTTGACAGTCTAAAATTTACATAATACTCTGATTATTATTCACTTATTTATTGAAAAACATTTCTTGAGTTAATTATAAAGCTATAAATCAGCAAGCAATTGAATTAAAAAGAAAAAGTACTTATAATTCCCCTTCTCAGAGACAATAACTGTTAATATGTTGAAGCATCTCTTGAACATTTTAAATATCTAGCTATTTTTCTTTCTGATTTTTATATAAATATGTGAATATAAATATATATTAAGTAAATATTTTAATGTGACCGTATAACACATAATAAGAATATGTATTTTACAATGAGAAATTTTATTAAAAGTATATATGACACTCTTCTTAAATATACAGTAGAGTTATCTGCATGGTATTACCTTTTTGGACTGTTGGAATATATACCATAATTTTAGAGTAGTTCCTATACTCAACTTTTAGAATATATTTACTTTGTTGCAGTTTTAGCAATGCTACCATAAGCATTCATATTGTTACACAGTTGCCTTGTCAGAAACCTCGGATAAATTCTTAAACATGTGTTAAAGGTATGCATATCTTTAAGGCTTTGATACGTATGGGCTGGATAACTTCAAGAAAAGGTTATGCAAAGTTATATTGCCAACAGCAATGATGTAACACAACTTAACTTTTAAAAATATTTTTGAAGTACTTATTTGCATGAATTACCGAATTTGTAAACCGGTTACAAAATATCTTATTCAAGTAAAGCCCAATTTTAGTTATAGGGAATGTGAGATAATGGTTTTATTGAATATATTCCTTCTATATCACATTAAAATGGATGTTAATTTTTCTTTTTCTTTTTTCTTTTTTCTTTTTTTTTTTTTTTTTTTTGAGACAGAGTCTCGCTATCGCCCAGGTTGGAGTGCAGTGTGGCGCGATCTCAGCTCACTGCAGGCTCCGCCCCGCGGGGTTCACGCCATTCTCCTACCTCAGCCTCCCGAGTAGCTGGGACTACAGGCGCCCCCCACCTTGCCCGGGTAATTTTGTTTGTATTTTTAGTAGAGACGGGGTTTCACCGTGTTAGCCAGGATGGTCTCGATCTCCTGACCTCGTGATTTCCCCGCCTCAGCCTCCCAAAGTGCTGAGATTACAGGCGTGAGCCACCGCGCCTGGCCGGATGTTAATTTTTGTTAACACGACAGTGATGAGTGATATGTTTTCTGCTTGTCACTTGATCATAAATTCCAACATAAAAATAGAAGCAGTACGATAATGATACATAGGCAGTCTCATTCCAATTATCAGTAGCTTACAGATATACTTATTTCAAATTAAGCATTTGAAAATGTTTACATATATTATACTTAAGTGAGAACTAAAAAAACTGTGAAAAAATACTTTTCTTATTTTTTTCTAGGAGATACTATGCCACTTTATAAGTAGAACCACAGAGAATAGCTCAGTTGGTTAAATTTATCATCAGTTAGTTAATACTGTAGAGAATTTAATGAACTGGGAGATAAGAAAACATTTATTACGTATTTAAATCCCATTTGGTTTTCCTAACTTAATTTTTTTCCCAGGGTGTCTCACTTCAGAGATGACTTTCCTAACTTTAATATCTTTTTACAATAACTTTGTTATGCCTTTAAGAAAGGACTAAAATATTTGTAAAATTAGTTCAATAGGAATATTTCCAGGTCAAATGGATCCAATTTCCTCTTACTCCTGAAAAAATAAAGACAAATAAAATTATTTTTATTTTACAATGGATAAATCTTCTTACACAATAGATTGTTCCTTTTTTTATTTTACAATAGATAAATGTTCCTACACAATAGATTCTGATCTGGTATTTAGTGATGTCAAATGTATAATCAATAAGAGAAGTAATATCATCATCATGTTTTGGTAATATCATCCACCACCTTATCAGCTGAATACAAAGTAGTGATTTTTCTTCTCCCTCAGATACCATCGGAACAGTTCTCGGACTCACAGGCTTGTTACCTCTTTACTCCAATAAGAAGGGGGAAAAAAGCAAACCTCACTTTTCAAGACCTTTTTTTTTTTTTTGCTACCTCTAACTATACATTTACTATGTTTCAGTTATTTTCAAATCTAATCCATTTTCAATACACTACCAATTGTATATTTTTTCATAAAACTGATTTGTACATAAATAGTATGCTATGAATGGATAAAATGGAAACACCAAATTAAATTTCAGATATAATCATTACACATTTCATACTATCTCTTAGAATGTTTTGAAAAATCCAAGAAATACTACACAAGATAACTCATAGCAAGTACATTCTGTATATATTCAATGGTAGATATCATAAGGAAAGAAGAGGAGGAGAGAAAAAAGGAGGAGGAAAAAAGGGGGAGAGAGTGAGTGGGAGAAAGAAAAATAAAGATTACTAAGTGAATGAAGGCCTTTGCATAACCAGCTGTTATCAGAAAAGTATCTACCATGGTCAGAAGACCACCTGTAAAAGAGTAACACTGCGTGTTGTTAAAAGTAGATTTCTGCATATTGCCTCATATATACCAAGTCAGAGTCCTTTGGGATGGGGCTCAGGGATCTGTATTCTTCAGTAGCAACAAAGATGAATTTTGTGCCCCCTGAAATTTAAAATATATTAAAGTGTAAAGTTATTTGAACATTCCAAACCCTGGCCTGATTTTTTTAATTGTGCTGGTTTAAAAAAAATTTTTTTGCATTATGGATTGTCATTAAAGATTATGAAGTATATACATTCTGAGAGCATTCTAAATAAATAAACGTTTCTAGAGCACACATTGGAAAGCAAAACCTGCAGAGGACGTACTCACTCTGTTCTGTTCACTGCTGTTGAAAGGTGCATTTGTTTTTCTTACAGAGTATTTTTTTCAGAGATAATGTGATGAAGGTTCAAGTAATAAAATAATTAAGGTGCATAGGTATAACCTTTCTGTAAATTACTGAAGCACACAAATTATTTTGAGAATTTGAATACCAAAAAGTTTGCATGCCAACATATTTACTATAAATCTATCGATGTTGGAATGTATTTTGCCCAGGCAAATATTGCAAGTACAATCTAAATAATAGACAATGGTGGCTGATTTGATTATTGTTAATAGTGGTTTTCCTAAAATTATAAAAAGCATGTATCTTGGGACATGCTTTCTTTATGTCTTCTGAGATTATAAACATGTTTCTCTACTTACATAGTTTAAATAAGATTTTTGTCTAGTGAAAAACTTAGCATAGGAAAAGCAAGACATGAGTTCACAATCCCCAAGGTCAAGTACTGATTTTGTATTTCCTTCATTTTAAAAAATTGCCAATATTGATGAAAAAGTGATTAATTATTAATGAAAAAACACAGGTCCTGTGGATCTCTTTTTAACATGTGCATTTTAATTTGTGGTAAAAACATATTAGTCTCTGCCTTTTTTCTCTCCAATACGTAAAGCTGAATTACAACACAAGTATATTATGCAAATCAAGACAGTTCTTTCCAAGTCACTGAAAATTTAATGTCAGAAAATACATATTTTAGCATACATTATTTAGTGAAAAGTTCATTTTTACTTTTCTGCAAAAGTGCTCTAAGCTTTGGAGTAAGAGCATTTTGTGGGTTCCTGGTAATACCATATGTTTTAGAGGTTTTAACTTCCTCATGGGTATCCAAAGATGTTAATATTTGACTTTTCCTGACATTTCACTGATTTCATTTTCTTACTGTTGCTGTTGTTGCTGCCTTTGTTATTATATATGAACATAAATGGGAAATTGCTCAGTTGATAAGTGATCAACAGCTACTTTACTCCTGGTATTGACCAGGAGTGGCTGCTTTGGGAAGCTGTGATTCCTTTCGGAAGTGAGATATGTCATAATCCTTAAAAATGGAATAAAGTCTATAATTTAAAGTATTCCACAAATCCTTCTGGAAACAATCACCACCAACCCCAACCCAAATGAGAACCATTGCCCTGGACACTATCAACAATGGCCAGACCTTTGGTGAACTACCTATCCTGGACAAGGCCTACCACAAAGTAGGTGCTTTTCAAAATATGGTTCAGTCGTTGTTGAGGCTGAGCGAACAGATGAAATAGTAGAAAACCACTGTGGTGAAACTTAGGAGGCTGGCTTCTAGTCAGCAATGTCAGTAACTTCTTTGAATCAGAGGAAGTCAACGGATCTTTCCAGGTCTTAGTTTTCTCCTTTGAGAAGTGGTTTGAGGTAGACGATTTTGAGTGTTCTTTATGGTTGCACAATGCATGAGATAAGAAAAATACAAAATACATGGTGGTGAGATAGACAACAATTAGGTCACAATGAGGTTAAAAGTAAATAAAAATGAAAAAGCATAATTAGAAAAATAATATAAAAAAGTGAAATATGAAGCATGTTTGGGGTAGAAAGAAAATTATTAGAGCAAGAAAAATAGGAAAAATAATTATGAGTGTATCTTTAAAACACAAGGCAATGGACACTGGTAGAAGGATTTGGTAAAAATAAAAAGTAGCAGTATTATTTGCTAAACTTGCAAGTAATTAGGAAATACATTTTTAAATGATATAAAATGATATAAAGTGATATAAAAACTCATCTGCTTTATGAATTTGAAACATGCTTTTTGATTATTTAACATAAAGAACAACTATGTGGCTTCATTGTTAAAAATTGTTTACCCTATGGTTTTATGAGGAGATATATATATATATAGTCTTCCAAAGTTGATTAAAAACATACAAACCCATTGTACTTCAGAGTCAATTGATTTTAATGCCTGAACATACCCACTATACACTACCTTGATATTGACTTAATATCTATTTCTACTTCTATTTTTTAAGCCACAGTTTTTATCATTATGGTAATCATTTGAGATGACATTTTAATTCTTAGGCACTTGTTTTTTCTGTATAAATCCATTGAGATTTCTACATGCATATTCAAACAAACAAAAGTACCTAAGTTTATATATAACATAAGCAATATGATAACAAAAATAAGGTTTATATTTCATGTTATTTTATTTTTATTACTTAACATTGCACTATTCTGTCAGGCCAAATTAATGAGGTAGATGATTCTTGGGGTTCGTTTGTTTGTTTGTTTGAGACAGAGTCTCACTCTGCTGCCCAGGCTGGAGTGCGGTGGGATGATCTCGGCTCATTGCAGCCTCTGCCTCCCATGTTCAAGCAATTCTTCTACTTCAACCTCCCAAGTAGCTGGAATTACAGGCATACACCACCATGCCTGGCTAATTTTTTGTATTTTTAGTAGAGACAGGGTTTCACCATGTTGGCCAGGCTGGTCTCAAACTCCTGGTCTCAAATGATCCACCCGCTTTGGGCTCTCAGAGTGCTGGGATTACAGGCATCAGCCACCGTGACCAGCCGAGGTGGATGATTCTTAAAGCAAATACAGAACATCTGAATGGACATGTACTTTCTAGATGTCGTGGGAGAAGTGTCATATGATAGAGAGATATAGATAGATACATATACACTTATATACACACAATTAATACATTTTTAAATATATGAAAATGTGATCAAACCAGAAAATACCCTAAAGATTTAGTGAGGTAGAGAACACAGAGTTTTTAGTTGTAGTAGATGAAGACAAGACTATAATGCCACATTAGAATTATTTAACCAGAACTTTTATGATTCTCAGAATTTGAACAGGGTCACAGAGGTGCAAAGAGAAAGGCATGAGTAAAAGCCTAAGTTTGTGGTATGTAATGTGTTCTTAGGAGACACTGAGTCGATGAGTAGATTAACCTGATTACTGCAGAGGCCTAATATAAGAAGTGTATATGTGGGTGTGACCCATTTATAAAGAGCTTGAAATGCCAGGCTAAGATAGTTTGAAATTTATCCTGTAGGTGGTAGAGAGGTGATGGATAATAGAAATATTTACATTATTCATTGTGATTAAGGATAGTTTAATATATCTTTTTTTTTATTTCTGAGTTAACATTTTTAAAGGAAACCCACTTTTGAATATGTGTATTTCAGGGAGCTTAAGTACTTTTTTACATTAGATAATTATATGACTTGCCAATTGTAACAGAAGAATTTAAGTGTTTTAATAATACTTTATAGATAATAGTAACACTCTCTTAGTTATGTATCCATTGTGCCTTGCTAATGTTACCATTTCCTGTGGGGATGACTGTACTAGACAGTGATATATATAAAATGTGAGGACTTATTCTCACAACAGTTTGATTTATTAGGTGATTAACTGTGAATGTTGCTTCTACTAATGTACAAAGATTGCTACTGTAAGTTCTTTTTTTTTTCTTTTTCTTATACTTTAAATTCTGGGGTACATGTGCAGAACGTGCAGGTTTGTTACATAGTTATACACGTGCCATGGTGGTTTGCTGCACCCATCAACCCGTCATCTACATTAGGTATTTCTCCTAATGCTATCCCTCCCCTAGCCCCCCAACCCCCCACAGGCCCCAGTGTGTGATGTTCCCCTCCCTGTGTCCATGTGTTCTCATTGTTAAACTCCCAGTTATGAGTGAGAACATGTGGTATTTGGTTTTCTGTCTTTGTGTTAGTTTGCTGAGAATGATGGTTTGAACTTTAGGAATTTTAATGTTCTTTGAATCTGATATGGTTTGGCTGTGTCCCTTTTCAAATCTCAACGTGAAGTGTATCTCCCAGAATTCCCACGTGTTGTGGGAGGGACCCAGGGGGAGGTCATTGAATCATGGGGGCCTGTCTTTCCCATGCTATTCTTGTGATAGTAAATAAGTCTCACGAGATCTAATGGGTTTATCAGCGGTTTCCACTTTTGCCTCTTCCTCATTCTCTCTTGTGGCTGCCATGTAAGAAGTGCCTTTGACCCTCTGCCATGATTGTGAGGCCTCCCCAGCCATTTGGAACTGTAAGTCAAATTAAACCTCCTTTGCTTCCCAGTCTCAGGTATGTCTTTATCAGTAGCATGAAAACGGACTGATACAGAATCCTCAAGATCTCACACTATTTTTGTACTCACTGGGCTACATTGGGCTTGCAAGTGTTAGCTAAATACGTTAATAGTAACAGTAACAAACCAGCTTTAAAAAATAACATATTAGACCTAATATTACCTGTAGCAAGTATGTAGGCTCACATTAACTTAGAGCATGCAGGAACAGTGAAAGGAATTTGACTTATTATGAATAATGGAATGCTTTTTTTTTTTTAAGTTTTAGGGTACATGTGCACAACGTGCAGGTTTGTTACATATGTATACGTGTGCCATGTTGGTGTGCCGCACCCATTAACTTGTCATTTAGCATTAGGTATATCTCCTAATGCTATCCCTCCCCACTCCCCTCATCCCACAACAGGCCCCGGTGTGTGATGTTCCCCTTCCTGTGTCCATGTGTTCTCATTGTTCGATTCCCACCTGTGAGTGAGAACATGCAGTGTTTGGTTTTTTGTCCTTGCGATAGTTTGCTGAGAATGATGGTTTCCAGCTTCATCTATGTCCCTACAAAGGACATGAACTCATCCTTTTTTATGGCTGCATAGTATTCCATGGTGTATATGTGCCACATTTTCTTAATCCAGTCTATCATTGTTGGACATTTGGGTTCATTCTAAGTCTTTGCTATTGTGAATAGTGCCACAATAAACCTACGTGTGCATGTGTCTTTATAGCAGCATGATTTATAATCCTTTGGGTATATACCCAGTAATGGGATGGCTGGGTCAAATGGTATTTCTACTTCTAGATCCCTGAGGAATCGCCACACTGACTTCCACAATGGTTGAACTAGTTTACAGTCCCACCAACAGTGTAGAAGTGTTCCTATTTCTCCACATCCTCTCCGGCACCTGTTGTTTCCTGACTTTTTAATGATTGCCATTCTAACTGGTGTGAGATGGTATCTCATTGTGCTTTTGATTTGCATTTCTCTGATGGCCAGTGATGATGAGCATCTTTTCATGTGTCTTTTGGCTGCATAAATGTCTTCTTTTGAGAAGTGTCTGTTCATATCCTTCACCCACTTTTTGATGGTGTTGTTTGTTTTTTTCTTGTAAATTTGTTTGTAGATTCTGGATATTAGCCCTTTGTCAGATGAGTAGACTGCAAAAAGTTTCTCCCATTCTGTAGGTTGCCTGTTCACTCTGATGGTAGTTTCTTTTGCTGTGCAGAAGCTCTTCAGTTTAATTAGATCCCATTTGTCAATTTTGGCTTTTGTTGCCATTGCTTTTGGTGTTTTATACATGAAGTCCTTGCCCATGCCTATGTCCTGAGGCCAGCAACATTCTGATACCAAAGCCTGGCAGAGACACAACAAAACAAGAGAATTTTAGACCAATATCCCTGATGAACATCGATGCAAAAATCCTTAATAAAATACTGGCAAACCGAATCCAGCAGCACATCAAAAAGCTTATCCACCTTGATCAAGTGGGCTTCATCCCTGGGATGCAAGGCTGTTTCAACATACGAAAATCAATAAATGTAATCCAGCATATAATCAGAACCAACGACAAAAACCACATGATTATCTCAATAGATGCAGAAAAGGCCTTTGACAAAATTCAACAACTCTTCATGCTAAAAACTCTCAATAAATTCGGTATTGATGGGACGTATCTCAAAATAATAAGAGCTATCTATGTCAAACCCACAGCCAATATCATACTTGAATGGGCAAAAACTGGAAGCATTCCCCTTGAAAACTGACACAAGACAGGGATGCCCTCTCTCACCACTCCTATTCAACATCGTGTTGGGAGTTCTGGCCAGGGCAATCAGGCAGGAATGCTTTGTTTCAAGGCAGTTAGTTTCCCAGTCCTTCGCGGCTCCTACTCAGCTGCTTTCTTTGAGTGTTCAATGGGGAGTTTAAATAAGAATTTAAACTGCAGTTCTAAACCTTTTCCTTTGTTTATAGTACTCACAAACTAAATACTGAATCTCAAAAGATGGCCTTATTTAGTTTTGAATTCTTATATAAGGTAATTACAGTATTGACGTGATTAGTCAGCAGGCTGAAGTTGTCAAAGTAAACCAAAATTGTCTAACATTTATGAAAGAAGTCAAACAGTCTTTTGGTAAATTTATTGAGTTAGATTCTCTAGGAGGCCCTTATTATTAACATCCCAAAGGGAGAATTTATTATCTTAATATAATTTTTGATAATCCAGGTATACTTTTAGTAGTGAACATTCAACTTTCAAGATAACCAGAGTAATTTGATTTGACCATCAAAAATTGTGTGTGTGTGTGTGTGTGTGTGTGTGTGTGTGTGTGCATGTAGATCTCATTTGATGTAATAGTTACACAAAAACTATTTCTGAATTTTGAAACTCAGCCAAAGCAAAAAATCATTGGCCTTCAATACATTTTACATACACAATTGCACGAAATAAATTTATATTAAAGATAAACAAAAATATTCAACATAATTTTAATATTTGCATTGCTTTAGGATTCATTCAGGATATTTCAGCTTCTTTTTTTTATTTGTTGGGACATATGTATTTTTGATTTTACACTGGTTTTAATAAAACTTTATATCTTAAATGAAAATCCTCAGTAGTATAGGCAGATATGGGGAAGGTATCTTACAACATACTTTCTTCTGTCTTTAGTTTTCAAAGGTCCCAAAGAAATCAAACAAGCATCCACTCCTGGAAGAAGAATGGAATTAAGTTAAAGATCAAATAAAATTAAATACAGTGGACAAAAACTTCTATTTGGAAGAATAAAAATTAGTTGATATTATATGAAAGGGAAATAATATTATTTTGTTAATTTCAAATTTAAAAATAAATTACGTTTACTTTGAATAATTAATATAAGCACTGATCCGTATATGAGATACACTGAATCTGAAACCTACAAATATTTAGTTTGGAACAAGTAGCCAATGCTTATTGGAATAAAAATTATCATTATTTATTATCATGAAAATGATTAAGAATCTGTACTGAGTTATGACACTGTTAAATGTAGAGTTATTAGAAAATATAACTGAGTATTTATAACTAATTATATAAAATTGATTTGTAATTAGCTCTACAGGGGTGCAAAAATAATTTCTGCAATATTAATGACAACTAGATTAAAGAGAAGAGCTTTTTTCTCCTTATTCTAATTAGTTTGGTAGTTTGATTTACAAGTTCTTATTTATGAAACAAATATAAATTTATCTTTCTCTAAATGCCTTTGGCTCCCAAGCTACCTTTTCTAATAGATGTTTGATTCCTTCTCTTTACTTTGCCTTAAAATTATTAATGTAGTCACACTGGCTCCCAAGCTACCTTTTCTAATACACTAGATGTTTGATTCCTTCTCTTTACTTTGCCTTAAAATTATTAATATAGTCACACAAAGGTTATAATTAATGAGAAAAAGAAAAAAAATAAGAAACAAGCAAATGAAAACCTGGATCCAATCCTAAGTAAATGGGCAAATCAGGAAATCTTTGTGCTTTTAAAATTCCTTTTAATGGATTCTATTCCATTTTGTCTCTCCAGACTTCTTGCTGGGAATCCACTAATCTAATATAAATCTACTAGGTGCTATTCTCCCAACTATTACTTGGGAAATATGTAGAGAAAATGTCCTGTCATAAACAGACTTGTTAAGCCAACCCCCAGGTTTAATCTTCACAACATTTGGTATTTTTTATAATATAAACTTGTATTTCATGCCCTTCTTCCCTGCTAGACCAAAATTCCTGAGTGTAGAAACATCTGTTATTGGCCTCTGTATTCCTCAGGGACTTACTCAGCACCAGCACCCTATGCCTGGCCATTGCTGGTATTTTATAAATACAAGTGTTTGTAGAATGAATGTGTAGAAGAAAAACTCTGTATCCTGCTTGACATAAATACCAATAATCAAGGGCCTGTTTTATCAATTCTGAATTAATTAATAGTGAAAAGGTATTTATTATTCCCTTTTGTCCATGTATATATATATATATATATATATATATATATATATATATATATATATATATATAATTTCTGACTGTTTCTTTTAAAAGGCATGACTTTAAGGCATGAGTTTTATTACTTATGATATTCATTAGATATCTAGTTTTTTTTCACATCTAAGCACTCTTTACCACCTGGTACTCCTGTAAAGTATAAAAGCCTGTTTAATGGTTTAATGTAGTATGCCACTAGAATGCTAAAATAGTACTTTTCAGTGAAAGTGTTACAAGCACTCATGCATAGAACATATCTAGTGAAACCCCAGCAACAACCAAATGCCTCTGTAAAAGCAGTCTTGTAATAATCTGTAAGGTTGTTGTAAGATTTGGTAAAAATATCTATGATAGTACCAAGCACCCATGATAAGCCCTCAATAAATTATAGCTATCATTGTATTTCTTACTGTTTTTCAAGCCAAATTGCATTTGTGAGTAGCGTAGGGGCAACTAAAAACAGTGGTATTGTACATGTAGAAAACTTGTATGGTAGAATTTTGAGAAAAAATTAATGATCTCTTTTCACCATTTTTCTTGCCAGCTTCTTGCTCATTTCTGTAAAATAACTTGTGTTCATAGTTTACATATTTAGTGTTGTGATTTGCATCATTTTAGAAACACTTGATTGACGAAATTGAGAAATACATCTGTAAGTTGTGGTGAAATGGGATAGAAGTGAAAGTGAGTTACTTTGTTTTTTGTGTTTTTTCAAGCCACCAAAGTTCAGTGAATAAAGTGGCTTTAGGTTCTTGTAGCTGGGACCAAATCCATCTCAGTTTGCTATATTAGCTGAGAAGCTCAAAGAACACAGGCTGGTAGAGCAGAAAGAATGTAAACCACATGCATGGTTCTATGTGCGCACCGCCTTCTCCACCTGTAGACTCTCCTTTAATTATGCGGGAAAACAAGCCATAGACTTGAGAGTTAGATACAGTTTATTTGCTTGCACTTTTAACGTCACTATACTTTCATAAGGATGCTCATTGCCCACCTCCATTAATGAGGATTGAGGGATCCCAGAGCTGAAAGCATTTAGCACTATGCCTGGCACACAGCAGATCCTCAAGATCTGCTTTCCTTCCTTTCCCCTTCCCAACCCTCCATCCAGTCTGGTGTGATATATGAAAGCAATGTTGAAGAATGAAACAGCTTGGTGTGGTAAGAAATACTGAGAAGGAAATTTTCATTTAGATTTAGTGGTTTAACTAGCATGAATTTTTATTGGAAAGGGGGAAAAAAGGTGCTATTCTGGCTGTATCTTACTAGCAATATAATCTTGTGCCCTCAAAAGTTTTCTGAATCTCATTTTTTCTCCCACAAAAATGTGGTTTTAATTATTTATCACATGCAGCTCTAATTATGTACAGTTCCAAAATGAACTATCCAAGCTTCTTATCCTTAGATAGTCCCAAAGAAATGTTATTATATTTTGCCAATACAAAAATCTGAAATACAGAAAATTCAAGGACGAGAAAGCAACTCTATTTTCTATTTAATCTTGTAGTCTTTCTCTCTTTCAAATTCAGAAAGAAAAGCAACTCCCTGAGGAAAGATCAATTTCAAAGGAATCTTCAGTATTTCTATGAAAGATTGATAAGTACATGTTTCACTGTGTAACATTTGAACTGAAAGGAACAATGCACATGGCAGATGCTTCTTTAACTTGAAATTTTACAGCTGTCATCTGTTGCAGCAACAATGGTTAAATGAATGGAATATTGTTTATTCCACGGAGAAAATTATCCAGCCTTTAGTATATAAATACACCTTTTATTTTTTCACCTTTATATATGAAAGCAATGATATGCACCTATCCTCATTTATAACTAGTTGCTTGTTAGTTAGATGTATCCTCCATCACACTCACACACCCCTTTAATAATCTGGTTCTCACCCTTTTCACTCCATTGAAACTGCCCATTCTTATTGCAGCCACCATCTGACTGCCTGACCATTTCTCATCGCTCTCCTCCTCAATCTCTCTGCACTATTTGGTATGTTTTATGGCACCTTTCCACCATACACATGTTCTTGAACTCCTCTGTACTATCTTGCATTGCCCCTCCATTCTGTGTCTTCTTTATTAGCCTGCCTTTCTTCTTTTGTCTGCAACTAGATTACATGCTCAGATGAGTGCTCTCTTTCAAACTCCCTTGATTCATTCATTCCCATAAATTGAGTACGATTGATACCTCTAGGGACATGAATCTCAAATCTCTATATGTAGGACTGACATCTTACATATATATGCAGCTGCTGCGGAGTATTTCTTCCTGGAAGTACCAGTGCACACCTCAAAGTCCAAAGTTCCAAGGCAAAACTTACTATTTCCCCATGGAAATGTACTTCTTCTTTTATTCTCACCCTGTTGATAGATAATAGTTAAAATTGATAAAAATAGATAAGAAATAGATAAAATTGTATACAGATAAACAAAATAGATAAAAGAGTTAAATTAAAAAACAACCACTTTGTAAATCTTCTCTTTTATTTTGCTGTTCGTCTGCTTTGTGCTGTGGAAGTTTCATCCATGATTTTTTTAAAAGTTACATCTTATTTCCCCGAATATCATCAAATACTTTTATTTCCATTAGCCTGAGCTATTTTAAATAACCTTATCATTGGTTCCACATAATCTCTTTTTCTATCCCAATCTTGCCTATGTCTCTGCCCAAGTAGACTTACTAAATATTCGTACTGATTGTATTTTTTCCTCAAAGTAGCTTCCATTGCCTTCTGCATCGACCTGGTACCCAAGGCCCTCCACAGAAACACTCTGATCTACCTTCTACTGGGTACTCACCTCCATATTACCTGTATTTAGACCAATTAACTTGATTACATCTATACATATCTCACTGCACTTGCTCATGTTTTCTCTCTTTACAAAACTCTCCTTCCACTGTTATAATTTATTAAAATAATTTTCTTTCTCCCTCCCTCTCTCCAGCACTTTCTGCCTTTCTTTCTACCTTCATTACACTAATTTTTCTTTTGTTAATTTAGTTTTTCTTTAATTTTTAAGAGTATATAGTAGACATATACGTATATGTATTTATGGGGAATATGCAATGTTTTGATACAGATGGAGAATGTGTAACGGTCACACCAGGGTAAGTGAGATATCCATCACCTCAAGCATTTACCATTTCTTTGTATTAAGGACATTCAAATTGCACTCTTTTAGTTATTTTGAAATATACAATAAATTATTTTGACTATAGTCATCCTGTTGTGAATATCAAATACTAGCTCTTATTTATTCTATCTAAATATATTTTTGTAGCCATTAACCATCCCCGCTTCTCTCTCCCTCCACCGTCCTTCCCAGCCTCTGGTAACCATCATTCTACTCTCTATCTCAGTAAGTTCGTTTTAGTTTTTAGCTCCCACAAATGAGTAAGAGTATGCATGCATGTATATTTTTACTTGCTACTTGTCCGCTTATTTAACAAACTTTTTTAGAATCTTTTGTGTGCCTGGAATAGTTCTGGATACTGAGAATAGAATAGAATGTTATAACAAAACAAAGACCATGTCCTATTGTCCCTCTGGTCTAGACAAAGAGACAGATAATATTCAAAAAGTCATATACACTGTGTCAGTAACATGAAGTACAGAAAAGAGCACAAAGCCGTCCTTGACAGGTCTGGTCTGTTATTCAAGGCCCCCTTCAAATGTCACCTTCCTTAGGAGTTTCTTACCAATCGTTTACCCAGGATGTAAATTTTGTACCTTAATAAAAATGAAACTTCAGAAAACAAGGATTTTTGCCAGTTTGTTTTCATATAAGCCAAATACCTTAATAACAGGACATAGAAAATACTTTATAAATATTAATCAAATAAACAACTTTGAAGCTCTTACTTCTTTGTTTTTACCATGTCTTGCAGCAGTTATATTATTGCTTTTCATATTCTATGTTTATTTGCATAATTATTTTTATCATCACTTCAGTCTAAAAACAGCAAAAAGTCAGGGATTTTACATAAGCGTAAATTACTTTACATAAGTACAATGTAGATTTTACTTTTTCTTCTATCCTTGCAATGCTTATTCCACTGTACACTACTCTCACTTATCAAACAGAATAAGCAACATACATTCAAAGACATCCTAATTAATATACATATTGCTTAAGTGCTAATGTTAGTCAAAAGTTGTCTCTAATTGACACTGGTCTCATTTTGCCACTTGGTAACATATTTTGCAGTGGCATTCCTTAATGGCCTCACTTGTTTATTATTTGTTTCTATAAAAAAAAAATTTGAGTTTTGAGTGAAATGGATCATGCGTATAATTTGCCTCTTTTTTTTTTAGTCTTTCTTGCATAGTGTCATATAAATCTGAAGGGCTTGGAAAAGAATTTTTAATTTTAATAAACTCATCTGGTAGCAAAGCTGCATTGTTCTATTTAAACTTTTGTGGTATTAATTAATTTATTTACACATTTCTTACATGTATTTTATTAAGAAATAAAAGGATTTAGTTCCATGATGCAACTGGAAATTTGCAAAACCAAATATAATACTACTTAAAATGTGTATTATACATAGTATGCGTTTGACACTGTTATTCAGAAGGATATTAATTCATTTAATATTTTACAAAATCCACGGAGGTAGGTACTATTATTATTTGTATTTACGTAAGAAGAACCTGAAGCATCCAGAGTTTATATAAATTGTCCTAAGTTATACAGCTAGTAGGTAAGAGTTGGTACAATCAAATTCAGTAAGCCTAGGCCCAAATTCAGTGCCCTCAAGACTGTTGCTCTACTGTTCCTCCTAGATATGTATGTGCCTATGAAATGAGTAAAAAGAAAGCGGATGACATTCGGAAAATAAAGAGAAGACAGACTAATCTCAAATATGTTCCTACAAATATAAAACAATTTAATATATAGCTTTTTATGTAGGCAATCCCATAACTCCAAAAGTGAAGAATAATAAAATTATTGAGAAGGCCTAAAAATAGGAAATTAGGGTGAAAGGAAAATAACTATTTATAATTTGATGCATACAGGTCTAGATTTTATCAAAACACAGTGATCAAAAGCAGTCTGGTGAGAATCTATTTCTGTTTTGGCTACATCCTCCTTTTCTCATATTTTGTTCCACTTGAAATACCTATTATTTTATATATTTGAGATGCATTGTCATAGTAAGAGTAGCTTAAAAGCTGTCTTCAAATAGAGTTATTGTGTTCTCTGAAGGCCAGTATTCCTATTGTTTAGCACCTTTTCTTATTAGAATTCAAAAGCTACCATTCAAGGTCCACCTGATATCTATTTGAATCACCAAATCTCACATAGCAAAGGACTATAGCTCAACATTCAGATTTTTAAAAATCTTTCATGTAAAGCTTCAGTTTTAAAGCCTTTTACTATAGCTTCAGAAACTCTGTAGTGATCTTAAGAAATAGAAATCGTCATTCAAAAATTTTATGAGCCACTTCATTTTAGATTCGGGATTCAATGATTCTCTAGTCATGAATGTTAGTGGCAATTTCCAAAGGCTTTGCTGCAATTCAGTTAAGAATCTTTGGAAGAATATTTTCCTTTTACATCCTACAAGCTAGAGATTAATTTCCAAGCTAAAGAATGTGTCATTTCACTTCTAGGAATGTAGATGGCAGAAATAAACATAAAGCACAAGAAGTTTCAAGCACAAAGATGATTGCTACTTTCAAATAATTCACAGCAGCAGAAGACATCTACACAGGAAAGGAAGGAAAATTTTGTACATTCACACTGTGGAATATTATGTAGCCACTAAAAGATGCTTGGTAAAGGTACTAATAATGTTAATTGAAAGGTTTAGAACAAAGAAATTCTATAGTCAGTAGGATCATGATATTTAAAAAATTGGGCATAGGAAAAAATAAAACAAGGCTAGTAGGAACACTTGTCATACTTTTCTGTACATTTGCTATTTTTATATTTTGAATGAGAAAACAATGCTTTTATGATAGAAAAATTGAATTTACTTAAAAAAATGTAAAAATGTTACAACAAGGTTTCCCATCATATGTTTTGGGAACTGACAGACTAGATGGTAAGTAGATACATAGATAGATACATATATTGATTGATCAATAACTAAATAGATACTAATATTCTATTATTTATTATAACAATGTAAATGCTTACTAAGGTAATGCAGAAGATAATATGTTTTATTTCCTTCATGTTTCAGACATAAAACATGATAAATACGAATGATATTTTTCTGTCATGGATGTTTTTTCCATTTGCTCATGGAAAGATGTCTTAGAACTGTTCTATTTTGGTTAATAATCAAGTCAGTGACTAACAATCTTGATGCAAAATGACTCATGCATGATATACTCTGTTAGATGGTGCTAGTAGATGGTTCAAAAGATACTTAGAATATGGGGGTCATGTTATAAAATAATAAATGAAGTTCAATAGCTTTATTAAGCTAAATAATCATTGCTTCTTGCATAAAAATTCTTCCTTCAAGTTAAAAGTGTCATCGGTGAATATCTATAAACTTTGTCTGGTTTGTATAAAAATGTCATAGTAATTATCTCATTGTTGAATAATAATTTAGTTAAGTATTCCATTCCGTTATTTTTTCTGAGAACTTCAGTTTTTATTTATTCTTCAACAATTTTTAACATTGCCCTGGTATGCTGAAGATTTACTGCTACGTGCATCGCTGTGGAATTCTTCATATTTGTCTCACTTGTGCTTACTCTTGTCTGGTTAGTGATTCCTGAATCTGAGGCATGTCCTTCATCAATTCTGGGAAATTTTATCTATTTTCACTTTGAATATGTCCCAGGTGCATTGTATCTATTTTATGACCATGAAACTTATATTAGATCTAGATGAGACTTATTCTATTTGCCATGTCTCTTAAACTTTTATTTCTATTTCTTTATATCTCTGTGAAGAGTTTTGATTTAGTTTTGTCTTTTAGGTCAGTACTCTTCATGTCAGATCTAATCCACTGTTTTTACCATCAATTGCATTTTAAATTATAATGATTATGTTTCACTTTCTATAAAATATTACAGTTATCTTTACTAAGGTATAATTTACATAAATATATAATGTATTTAGATATATTTACATATAAATACATACATATTTACATAAAATTAATTTCAGTGACTTCAAGGGTACAATTCATCGGATATTTATATATTTCCTATACATATAATATATATTATACATATTTCATGATTATACATATAATATAGCACAATATGCAATATATGTAATACATATGTATAATCATGCAATATTATATATCATAATATATAATATATTATATATGTGTTATATATTATAAATATATATGTGTAATCATGCAACCACCACCACAGTCTTTGAAAATATTTGTATCTGTTCTTCTGGGAATTTTTCCCCCTAATCTTCTGTCTCATCTTTTTTTATAGTATCTTGTTGCTTTCACATATTTACATTTATTTTATGTATTCTATCATTTAAAAATATTTATGTTATAATGTGCATCCAGTAAATCTATAATCTGAACCTCCTTTTTCTTTTTGAGACAGAGTATCACTCTGTCGCCCAAGCTGGAGTGCAGTGGCGCGATCTCCCTCACGGCAACCTCCGCCTCCCGGGTTCAAAGAAATTCTCCTGTGTCAGCCTCAGGAGTAGCTGGGACTTCAGGTGCATGCCACCACATCCGGCTAATTTTCTTTTTGTATTTTTAGTAGAGACGGGGTTTCACCATGGTTAGGCTGGCTTCGAATTCCTGACGTCAGGTGATCAACCCGCCTCTGCCTCCTGAAGTGCTGAGATTACAGACTTGAGCCACTGTGCCCCGCCAATCTGAGCCTCTTATGGTCTACTTATGCTTTAATTTTTTTTTCGTAAATTAATCTCATGGTTGCTTCTCTCCTTGAATGTTTTGTACATATGTACTGTGTCTGCATATTTTTGCACATTTTCATCTGTGACAATTCTGTATGGCCTTTATTGTAGGTATGTCCTTCAAGAGAAGATTGGCATTTGCTTTTGCTAGATAACTCACAGGTACCCAAGAACACTTAAAAGTTTGTATTATGTAATGTTTCACACATAAACAGAATTTTCATTTATCTATATAAGGGAATGCATACATATATGCATATGTGTCATGTGTAAGTAAAACAATAAAATAAATGCCTCTTCGATACCGACAGATTAAGAAACAGAACTTTAGATGAACACTGATATGGTTAGGCTTCGTGTCCCCACCCAGATCTCATATTGAATTGTAATCCCTATAATCCCCATAATCCCTATGTGTCAAGGGAGAGACCAGGTGGAGGTAGTTGAATCATGGGGGTGGTTTCCCCCATGCTGTTCTCATGATAGTGAGTGAGTTCTCACGAGATCTGATGGTTTTATATGGGGCTCTTTCCCCTTCACTGGGCACTTCTTCCTCCTGCTGCCTTGTGAAGAAAGTGCCTTGCTACCCCTTTGCTTTCCGCAATGATTGTAAGTTTTCTGAGGCCTCCTTAGCCATGCGGAACTGTGAATCAATTAAACCTTTTTCCTTTATAAATTACCCAGACTCAGCAGCTCTCTACAGCAGTGTGAGAATGGACAAATACAACCACTTTTTACAATAACTTCTTAGGACCTAACTATCCACTCTGGTGTTCAGTTTCCTCCCCATTTTTTTTTTTTGTACCTGAAAATATTTCTTTTGAATAAATCATGCATTTCTTTATATATTCAGCAGATATATTTTGAATACTGACTAGGTGTCAGACATGATTCTAAGTGCTAGGAACACAAAAGTGAGCGAAACAGACAAAACCTCCTGCTCTTAGAAAGTCTCCATTTTAGTAGGGGCAAGATAACAATTAAAAGGAATAAGTAATGCATTTAGTATACCAAATGGGAATCAATGCTACAGGGGAATAAATAAGGAAAAGAGTATAGAGAGTGTCGGTATGGGCAGAAAGTACACCTTGAAATGGGAATTCGAGGAAGGCTTCACTGAGAAGAAAGAATTGAAGAAGGTGACCAGTGAAGTTGTGTGGAAGCTGGGAACAGTAAAAACAAATGCCCTGAAGTGTTAGGGTATAGATAAATAAAAGCAAGGGAGTCTGCTTGGCTGGAGCAGAGTGATCATGGTGAGAGGAGCTCAGAGCTATAACAAGGGTGTACTATGTAGGCACTGGAAGAAATTTGGCTTTTACTCCAAGTGGAACTGGAAGCCTTTGGAATGCTTCCAGAATAGAAGTGATGTCATCTGACTTATGTTTTAAATAGATCAATCTGGATGTTGTGTTGAGATAGACTGGAATTGGTCAAAGATAAAGCAGGGACACCCCAGGAGGCTATTATAGCAACCTAGATGACAAAGGGTAGTGGTTTTCATCAGAACAATAGCAGTGGAAGTGACAGGAAGTGGTCAGGTCAGATTCTGGAAGTATTTTTAAGGTAAAGAATACAGGACTTGTTAATGGATTGTATGTGGGTGTGAAATAGAAGAGTCAAGAATGACTACATTGTTTTGGCCTGAACAACTGCAAGGATAGATTTAATATGAACTGAGAGAGACTAGGATGGCCAGAACTTGGAGAGGTCAGTTTTGAGATGTCAGTTTGGAGATGCCTATTAAACATCCTAGTGTAGGTTTCAAACAGAAAGGTAGTTCCAAGGGAGGGCAGGACTGGAGATATAAATTTGAGTGGCATAAGCGTATTGATTTTATTTTAAGAGTTGACACCTGACAAGCTCCCCAAAGTAGTGAGTAAGAATATAAAAGAGATAAATTGTAGGGATTGAGTCCTAGGGAGCTCTATATTGCGAGATTTGGGAGATGACAGAAAGCCAGAAAGGCAGATTGATATTGAACAGCCCTTTAATTAGGAGAACAACATGTTAAGTGTGGTGTCCTGGAAGTTATGAAAATTATGGAGTGATCAAGTGCCCTAAGTGGTACTGATAGTATCAATTAAGATGAAGACTGTAATTTGACTGCAAAAAGGGCAGGAAAGGCTCAATGGAGTAGGTTCAGGAGATAATGGGAAGAAAGGAAGTGATTTTTTAAAAAAATAATAATAATAAATGAGCAATGGGGCCATCGGTAGGTAGGGGAGCAGCGATAAAAGAGATTTTTTTTTTCAGATGGTAAACATAACAGCAGTTTGTAGAGGGAAAAATCTGAAGAGAGAGAAAAACTGATAATATGGGAGAGAGAAAAGAGAACTGCTGGGATTTTGCTCCGGAATAGATGAGAAAGGATGAGATCTAATGTGTTATAAGTGGAGGAGCTAGTCTTTGTTAAGTGCCAAGAGAGCTTAGGATTTAAAAGGATGTTTATCTTCAGGGTTTTTTTTGGGGGGGAGGGGGTTCTATAGTTGTGGTTTGGGCTTTTAGGGGTATGATGTCTACAAGATGGTCAGAAGTGGCTATTTTCACAAATGTAGTGCATCATCTTTGTTAGTGTAGCCCAAAAGGCCTGCATAATCTAGCCCCTTTCTCTATGGCTGAGCCACAGTGGCCTTTCAGTTACTGAAAGTCCACTCCTACTCATCACAGGGCCTTTGCACATGCTCTTACACTCGTGTCCAATGGAACTTACCCCATGGTTTCCTTCAGGCCTTCATAGCACTTCTCACAGATCCAAGTTTCCCTTTATTTTGAGTTCATCTGATTAGGATCCATCTTTACCATTAGGACTTAATCTCTTAGGGCTGGAACCAAGTCACTTAAAAATGCACAAAACGCACATAGTATACACTGAGTAGCTACGTGACATTCATTGTTTTATGAATTGATAAGCCTATTATGAACTAAAAACATTTTTCAGTGTATTTAACTTAGAGTTATGTGGTACAAAGTAAATAATACAGGTGCCTTTTTTTTTTCCTCAATTTGGCTGCCTAAGTGCAATACATTAAGAAGGTTATTGCCATAATTTTACTGTGCTGGCTGGATAACATATTTTAGTAAGTAGAATGTAATCTCAATATGCCAGTAAGTAGTTTTGCCTCTGAAGAAGATGTTCTAGCACATTTTCCAAAAAGGACAAAATGTGTTCATACAGAAAATGTTATTTAGACATTCAAAACTAAGCTTCAATTTGGGAACCTTTAATGGTGATTCTATAGCTTTGAGAGAGCACTACCTCAAATATTTATAATATTTACTCACCAAAATAAAATGTTCACTGGTCTCTAAAAGTGTTTAGGGTAGTGTGTTGAGGCTGATGATTAAGGTTGGTCAGGGATGTGGGAGAAGAGGTTGGATATCAAAATTAAAAAACAAATTGAACTGGAAACTCCATGTACATACAAATATACATATAAACAAAGAAAATAGTAAAACAATGTGGCTAATATTTTCTTGACACTTAGAAGCCAGGAGACTTTCAACACTAATTAAAACCTAGGAACATAAGCTACTCAATCAAATTAGGAATTAAATTAAATGTATGATTTGGTTCTGATTCTTGCTACCTGGGTGATTATCAAAAGGGTTTTAAATCATATAGACCTTAATTCCATAACCACGGGATAGAGTCTGTAGTATTCTTTTACATATGCCCACTGTATGACTGGAGTTTATGAGACAGAAATATAAAATAGCATATTAATTTTCACAGAAGGAAATTAGCTATTATCTTATAATTTTTAAAATTTTCCATCAGTTAAATATGCTGCCTTGAGTCTCATAATATCCTGTTAGCTAATGATTCAAGTATCCCATATCTCAGAGAAAACAAATCAGGTTGTTTTTTTTTTAATAGCTGTTTAAGTAACTTTTTTTTTTTTTTTTTTTTTTTTTTGAGATGGTGTCTTGCTCTGTTGCCCAGGCTGGAGTGTAGTGGCACAATCTCGGCTCACTGAAACCTCTGCCTCCTGGATTCAAGCAATTCTCCTGCCTCAGCCTCCCCAGTAACTGGGATTACAGGCTCCCGCCACCATGCCCAGCTAATTTTTTTTTATTTTTAGTAGAGACGGAGTTTCAACATATTGGCCAGGCTGATCTCAAACTCCTGACCTCAAATGATCCACCCACCTCGGCTTCCCACAGTGTTGGGAATACAAGCATGAGCCACCGCACCCAGGCATGTTTAACTAAATAACTTATAAATAACTGTTGTGTTATTAGATCATTGCTGTAGAACCAAAGCAAAATTAAGTCCTAACAGTTTTTAGCATCAAATAAGTGGAGAATTTTCTGATACAAAGTCAAGAAAATGAAGGAATTAAGGTGGCATGAAGGGTTACATAAAACTACTTAGATTCCTAATGCAATACTTTGAATTATTAAATATATTTTTAACAAAACCATATTATTACTCAAGGTCCTGATTTTTATAAATGTAAAACAAAAAATTTACAAATACATTTAGAAATTTCAGGTAATTATTTTTCTTTGGATCTGCTTTTGAATTGAAGCATAATTAAAACTGTTTGCTTAAAAATCAAATTATTCAGGTTATTGATTTTTCCACATTTATCTAAAATGACTATCATGTAACAGGAGTTCTATTTTCACTTTGATTATAATAGAAAATGCTCTAAATGGAATTTACTATTATTAGAAGAGGAAATAAAATAATCTCATATAAGATAGAACATAATGATAAAAATGAGTGTTTGAAATAGATAGCTGTATCTGCTATTCAGACATACCAAGTATACTAAATTATCAGTGAGTAGAAATATACTTTGTTTAAGGGAGGCAATAAACAGCTAAGATTTTACAATCAAAACAGATGTAAAAAGCACCATCCAAGTTTTCACTTTCAAAAAAATAGTGGTAGCTGAGGCTTATTTTAAGAAAAGTCTTGATTTCTTATGAATCATAAGTATTTCCATAATCAGGGACTGTTAACGGTCTCCATTAGCAAGTATTATTTTTGACATTTTCAGATCTCTGATGGTATCAGATCTGGAAATATCTTGCCTTTTACTGTCACATGGACAATAAAATGCTAGATCAAGGGGAAGAAAAGAAGAAAATTTCAAAGTAAGCAAAGTTTCATATTCAGAAATGGAATTTATAATGTGAACCACCTTTTTCTGTAACCAAGATCTCTCAATTCCAACAAATTCACTGTCCAAAAGCAATATATAGAACTTGGAATTTCTGTCCTAGTTCTTTCTTCTATATATTATTTGCATTCAGACGTTTGGCAATAATGTTTTTTAGTTTAAATTAAAATAACTAGTATATTACTATTTGGAAAAGTAAATTCCTTTTCTGAACTTTTCTTAATTTCACTGGCATTTTTTATTGTAACTGGCCAGAAATGATATATTTTAAAATACCATGAAACTGAAAATGTCAGGAATTGATTATCCAGCAGAAGAAGTCAAGGTTATGAGAGAGGAAACTAAGTTGATATAAAATTAGTAATGAAAATATGGGCTTTTACTACTTGATTATATTCATTTTATCCATCTGTACAAAGGCATGGAAGATGAAAGATCGTAGTGAGCCGAGGGTGGTAATCTTTACTCTGGAGCATGGGTCAGGGAGTGGGGAGGGAAATAAGGGACAGTGCTAAAATCATGGTCTGCCACCTAATTTCGAAGTTTTGGGAAAACCCCACCTGCCACACACACTGTACTAAAGAATTTGGAAGTCATCAAAACATGTATGGCAGAACAACTTAAAAAAAAAAAAAGAGAATGCTGAAAACAAATGGGTATAACGTGATCTAACCTACATTTAATGCTGAATTTTAATAACATTATAGAAGGTGAATTGAGAAAGGAATCCTGGAAATACAGACAAAGTGGGAAACTCCTGCAATAATCTGTGTGAAAGATGACAAAGTGCTGCATTACGGTAGGGAAAGGAATACAAGAAGGGGCACATTTGACAAAGCTATAGAGACACAATAAAAAACGTGGTGATGAACTAGATATGAGTACAAAAGACAGAAAAGAAGTCAAAGAAGAGCCCAAGGCTACTCACTTAGGCGGCGGGAAAATGGTGAATGCAAAGGTGGAGAAGATTAAAAAAAAAAAAAAAAAAAAAAGCTGATTTTACTGGTTTTGGACATGCTGAATTTGAAGTATTCCAGATTTTTATGGACTTTTTAGGTGGAAAAGTCTTTCAGCAGTTGAGAAAAGGAGTGTAGAGCTTAAAAGAGAAGACTGAGTTGTATTTATCAGATTTCTCAGAACAGTTGTTTTCTCCCTATGAGATATAGAAGTCTGTTTGGTTGGGGTTTCACAGTCATTCAACTTAGCTAGTTTTGAGCACGGGGTAGTGAATGAGAACTCTGAGAGAGAGCTTGTGGGTGAGGAAACAAGATGATCGAGTGTGGAACCTTAGGAAACTCATCATCTGAGGTTGCCAGGAGAGGTAGTAAGAAAACCAGAATGGAGTGGACACCTGGAAGTCAACGTGGAAATAGTTTTAAGAAGGAAATAGTCAAAAGGATTAGATTCTCCAGAAAGTCAAATGAAATGAGAAATAAGTTGTGCCCCCAAAGTTTGGGAACATAGTTATATCTTGAATTACATCCTCTGCCTTAAATAGCATTTTCATCCTTCCTTCATTAGAGTGGCAAAATCTGTTTCAGATCACTCCTAAATTTGTAGTTTCATAATATGTAACTCTTTTGACTCACACGACAATGATCCGAGCCCAAATGGACATGCAGACTTAATGATGGCATTGTTAATAGCATCGTGTGTTATCACTAAGTATCAACTTAACAGCTACCTTTTCTTTTAAGTTCCAACATTAGGAGTTTAAATAAGACTACTTCATTTTAATTACTTGTACATATTTTAAAGCATACATTCTGAATTGAACTTTGTATCCAAAGCGTGAATAATCTAGTAGGATTAGACAAAATTAATATAAAACTCTTAAGATTGTTGACATAAACATACTTGTGTAGAAAGACATTCAGAAAGTATTATTAAATAATATTAAGATGTTTAAATCTAACACAATTCTTAAAAATAAATGTGCTTCTATAAACCTGAGAAAGGTATAATGTTGATTTGTCTCTGTTTATTTAAAAAGTATGTCATAGTCTTAGTAAAGACACTTATCATTTTTTTCTTTGCTTCATAATTATTTGACTACTCATTTCACCTCCTCGACTAGACTCTTAATTTCCATAGTAAGAGGGTTCATGCTCATTTCTGAGTTTCCCACATTAATTTGCCTCTAGACCCAAAGTCTAAAATTAAAGATATAGTGAAATATTTTCCCAGTAAATCATATCAACAAAGATGATACGTTACTGCCTTAATTATAACAGCATGCATTTTCATTTTTCAATGTATCTTTTTTATCTAATTTTTTCATTGCATCATTGTTATTAGATTGGTTGGAGTATGATACTAGAAAGATCAATTAAGGGTTCAAATTCTATGTGGGACTTTTACTTGTCTTTCTCATGGCCACAAATTCACTCTCCACTTTGGCCATATTTGCAGCTGTGCAATATTGGTTAAAAATAAAAGAGAGTGGGTGGACAGAAGTAGAAATATTATATGAATTCATTTATATCTCTGGAAAATAAGTTTGGAGAACACTATCTGTTCTGTCTGAATCAGAAGCATGCTTGTTCTAAAGGAACAGCACAACATTTACTTCTGCCTGCCTGGAAATCTGAAATTTCTGTTGATGATCCTCCCATTTTGACATGTTAGCATCTGCCCACTGTGTACTTTTCTGTGTGCTATTACCAGCAGTGTGCTCAGAAATATGATCAGCCCATTTAAGACAAGGTTGTTGCAGGAAGACTTTTTAAAAGACCTGTTCCTTTCAAAGGTTCATGATTTTAAACCAAAATAACCACATCCATTCTTTATAGGAAAGATCATATGTATACAATTGACAATGTCAAGATACCTTAATGTTTCTTGATTTCATTTCATACATGTAACTGTTCATGGTGAATTATTTTAATAAAGTTATTTTTAAATAATACAGATTATTTCATCCAAGATAGAACAAGCATTTTTTATTAAAAAGAATCTTAATGTATTATATATAAAATAAGATAGAAAAAATTATGTGACTAGGAGAGAAGATATTACAAATATTATAGTTCTTTAATGTTATACTATTCTTGGTAATATAAAAGCTTTTTGGTATCAGAGCAACACAATATATCGAGTCCTTCAGTTTGTGGCTTTGGTCAAGTTTAAAATTTGAAAATCGAATCATTGAACTAAAATGTTATTACACTGTTCATATTATCAAGCAGTTAAAAAGAAAATCAATTTCCTTATTGTTTTAACTGGATAAGTATTCTTATATTAAAGAATGAAGTATTTGAACTTAGAATCTTCATTATCTTCTTGTTTTACTGAGATCAGTAAACCAATTAGCTACATATAATTTAACATACTAAAACAATAAAATTCATTAATATTTTGCAAATTTGTTTAAAATAGAAAAAAGTTGCTATTTTCTTAACAATCACCACTAAGGGCAATTCATAACTTACACATCATTTAACCCTATATTACAGGCAAAACATTCATAATGATTACATCCAAAAATAATCCAAACAAATATATTTTTCTGGAATTAGAAAAGATAAAATGATGGAGATTAAAATGTCAATTTGTTTGCTGTGATAATCAAGTTAAGAGGAAAATATTTTCCTTTGTTATAAAGTGTAAACTCTATACAGGAAGGTTTTTTTTTTCCTTTGCTCTCTGCAGTGTCCTCAGCACCAAGCACAGTGCTTACATATGTGAGTAATTTATAAAAATTTTTAAATGAATGAAACATGAATCTGATAATCTGGAAACCAACTTCTGTTTATAAATCAACATAATTGTGCTATGCAAAGAAAAATAACATGCAAACCTAGTCTAAATGGTAAACTCTTTTATATCATTCTGTGCAACTCTGCAATTTTTCAGTCTATATAATACCCAAAATCACATGACATCATGTCAGTTTCTTGAGGTTCCCAATGCTGTGCTGCACGTAATTCTTACTGTATAAAGCTCAAAATTTACATCAGCAAGAGTGTATGTGTGGATCAGCACAAGGCTAATAACCCTGTAAGAATAGTTACTTAAACTTTATGGTCTCCTAAGTAGAGAACAATGCTGTAATCCAGAAAAAATGGGATATTATTAAGAGAATAATGGTACTATGCTTAGAATTTCATGTGTGTTTATATAATTTTCTATAAAAAATCTAAAATATAAGTGATTTAAGGTAGTTTGATGATTCCCCTCTGTGACGAGTTGAGCTAAATTCAAAATTATAGAACAAAGCAACTTAAAAAAATAGCCACTTTTTGTGAAGGATCAGAAATCTAGAAGATTGCAGCCAAGTTTAAATTCTTTAGGAGAAAATTTCAACTCGATATTTCTCCAGCCTTTAAATTTTGAGTTAGTTTTGCTGGGTTTATTTGTGGATACTCCATCTGTTCAGTGCTGAGACGGGCTGGAAGAATATATTATGGATGGCCACTGACTCCAAACTGATGAGTCACTAAAGCAAGAAAGTACGAGGATCATGACTGAATTCAGCAGGACATGTGAATATACTGTTTATAAAGTAGAGTTCAAGATTTCGCTTTGAAGAATCTGGGTCAGACCCCAAGCCTTTAAGTTTCGGTCAAATTGAATGTAAGTATTTTTTTTTTCCTCAAACTAAGTTACTACCTAGTATAATTGAAAATATGTGAGTTAAAAAAAATCCAAGCATTTAAAAACTATAGAACGTATTTATTTATATAATATCAATTCATAAAATATTTGACATACACTATTAGAGGAGAATTGTAGGAGAAAGTTTTTTTGTCAGAAAATATTTTTGTCAGTTTCAGAACACATTAAACTTTGACCTTACACAATGGGACTTCAAGATATGTTTGGGTGTTATGTTTGCTAAAATAAGGAGGCATTATTTTAAATACTTTCCATATATTCGCTGCATTCTGGTGGGGAGGCTTTGCTGAACCTCACAGAGGGTCTAGGCGATTTGACTTGTCATGATTACACCAACACTGTTTTCCTTATTTGGCTTGAATTTATATCACTGGAATATTTGAAGTAGTTGATCGTCTTCTTTTTGTGGAGTTTGTAGTTAGACAAAATATATGCAAATGATGTGTGCTGCTTCCTTGTTCTCTTATTTGTATAATAAAGAATTATGTGTATTTTTTTCAATTATCCTAGAAAAAAATTTATCCTAAATGCAAATGCAAACAGTCTACATGACTTATTAAGGAACTAAGTTACACCCCAAACTCACATAAACATGATATATGTTCCTATTATCTTTTTTTCCTTTTCATTTTTACCCTGACTCTTCCAGCTCAAATTTCATCTCTTGTGTTTTCCTTTTGGAGCCCTTACATGTTTTTTTTAGAGTTCTTAGATTAGAGAGGTCACAACATCTATAATTTAGATTCTTAAGGAATCTATTTATAGTTTTGTCTGCTTTACAGTATAATTTTTCTGTTATGGATTCTTCAACTGGTTTTTTTCTCATATTTTTCTTGTAGCATTGTTTTTTGCTTTGATTTTGGTTAAAAGCAGATTTCCTTCTGAATATCACTCATTGTTTAGTGGATTATTTATTTTCCCGGTCCCAGCAATTTTTTGAAGAACAATGTTGGGATATAAGCTAGTGGGCTATTAGCTGGTGGATCCTGGGACTAGGCCTATATCAAGACCTCCACTCTACAAGGAGACCACCTCTACTCTTGGCTAGCGGATCTGCTTGGCTAACATGCTTTGCATTTCTAACACTCTGCATATCACCAGTTCTGAACATTGCACTTCTTTTCTCTAGTATATCGAAAACACAGCTGCTGAGTTGACTTTTGCTCTTCCATGTGGCAAACTAAAAGCCTGAGTTGTATTAGAAATGCCATGAAGCTCTTTCTCACTTGGCCCCAACCTCCCTGCTACCCTTTGATAAATGACTCTGGAATCTAGTGCACTCCTGCCCACACACCTAGATCTTGTCTTTCTAGGCAAGGGGCGCTGGTGTGGCACTGAAGAGTGTATGTTACCTGAGAGATGCATTGGAATGGGTTCACTCTTTACTTCTTCCCTGCACCATTTTTTCTGCTTTCCGTAATCTGTTTTCCTAGATTGTGGTTCAGGGTTTTAGCTGTTTTTTAGTTTCAGCAAAGATGGAGAAAACTCCTTATTTCCTGCATTTGTATTCTTGTTGGTTAGTTTCAGAAAGAAGATTCAAGCAGAGACAGTCTTACTTCAGCATCTTCAACTTGAGGTTCCACATTACATTCAAATGTGGTCAGTGCCCTCTGAAATTCTGATGAGCTGTCTGCTGCAAGTATGGATAGATGTTTAATCTGGTATGGAAAAACGGCATTGCCCTGTTCATTGTAGAGAGCAACAACACATAATTTCTTATCTCCCTGCCATATATCTTACTTAGAAGTGAAACGTTGGCTGGGTGCAGTGGCTCAAACCTGTAACCCCCAATACTTTAGGAGGCTGAGGCAGATGGTTTGCCTGAGCCCAGAAGTTTGAGACCAGCGTGAGCAACATAGTGAGACTCCATCTCTATTTTATTTTTTTTAAAGAGTGAAATGTGAAGGTGGAATGAAGTTATTCATGAAAATATGATGCATGGAACTTCAGAATTCATTTGTATTTGATAATGAATTTAAGGTATTAAAAATCCATATGCCTTCAAAAAAGTAACCTGCCTTTTGAGGATCTTAATTTACAGAATATGAAAAACTGTTTAGCTTTTTCTTTCTCCAATTCTCCACTCATCAGTCTAACCTCTAGCCCTCTCAATGGGCTCTGTCCTACTCAAATATTTTTGATAGAAAGAAATATATTAATTTATTAAATCATGCACACCCCAAACCAGGAACTGCATACAAAACAAAAACTAAAGAGCTTTTCTCTGTAAGTAACTTGCTGGCTGTTAGGCTTACCTGAAGTATAGGAAATAATTAAATCTGGGTTCATAAACCTGCTGCTTTTGATACTTGCTATATTATGAGATGTGTGAGACTATAAGAATAAATAAAGATGCTAACAATTTGTACTATCAATATAATGTAAAAAGTGAAAAGTCAACAATAGTTGATATATTCTTCCATTACAATTAATTTTTATGCTATAAATTTATTTTACATTAATCATAGCTATAATTGTTATTTGTGCAACTGTTCAAATATCTTTATAGATAATATGGAAAAATTCATTTGCCATTTGTATGATATAACATAGATAAATGTAAAGATTTCTGTAGAGTATATATCCTTTAAAGCAAAAGATTTTATCAATAAAAAGTTTCATTTGCTCTTTTTAAAGACTTGAAATAAGATAGAAAGTGATTTGTATCATTCAGGGATCATTGACATACCTAGCTGAAGAAATAGATATGGGCTTAAAGATGATCTTTCCAATAAGAGATTATAGTCTTTCTCACTTGGAAAATTGGTTTGTTGATCTGGAGGGGAATGGGGGGCTATTTCATGGTTTCTGAAGGCCAAGATTCCCTCTGAGTGGATTTATCGTTTGAGCCACCTGTGTACTTAGACTCCCACTCACTTTCTTCAAGGAGAATCCTGCTGTCTATGGATTTAGCCAGGTTTAAAATATATTTATAGTAGGAACTACCAAACATTATCTCAAGCTGAGCTATAAGAAAGCCCATCAAAGTTAACTTCCAAGGCATTCTGATAGTTATGCCTTGATTCTGGATCTTGATTTTCCCACACTTCTGTTTTCCTTTTTATGTGGAAAAAAAAATCAGAGGAAAACTCAGTATTCAGAAAGAAAAAATGTACAGGAAAATACCAGCCTGGACAATGATAGGTAAAGGAATGCCAGGAACTCTGCCAACTGCTACCAGGATGACAGAATCTAGCTTCAGAATCCAGTTGCTGGAGGCTTTCTCTTAAAAGAGCTTAATAGAACCTTCATGCATTATCAACGCTCATTTCCCAATGTCTCCTCAAATGAGGAATTAATGTTAACAGATCAGAGGGACACCCAAAACTGACTAGATGAGCTTACTGTGACTGTCCTCCCTTTGTAGCTCATTTATAAACTGTAAAACTCGCAGTAATATAGCTCCTGAGGTTATATGCAGCAATTTACCTCATTTTCTTTTCTCACTCATAATATAGTATTAAAAAGAAACAAAGAAACAAAAAACAAACTTCTATTCCTGAATTTAGCTGGATTTACTTTGCTTCCCCTTTGTGCTTCCCATTCCACCATTGCGTCATTTTTCAAATACTACAAATTCAGATTAGATGTCATGACAAGTGATACTATAATTAATTTATTTGGTAAACTGTGTTGTTAGCAAAATAAATTGTTGTAGCAAAGTCAAATGGGATGCTAGAAAGCACATTGGTTTAAGTAGGTGTTGGGATCCTAAGTTCAGAGTTTTAGAGCTGTTATTTATTTAGTGACTTAGTTTATACAAATTGCTTTACCTCTCCATGCTTGATATGCTGATATGCAAAGTGGATATGCTGTTTCAGCTAAATTCAAGTGTTGTTTTGGAGATTATTTCATGTGTCAGTTTGCATTTATTTGTTTTTCTTCTGATTCATTTCAGAATCTTTTTGAAGTGGCTTACAGACACATAAAATATAAACAGACAATTAAAACAAAATTAAGTCAAGACAAACACTAAACTAATAGTGAAGCCAAATTGGCTTTCAGTTCCAAGTCAACACAAAAACACAAAAAGAAAAACTAAACTGGTTACATGACCTGAGAGGAACACATTTGCCCTCTCTCTATCTCTCTTTCTCTCTCTCTTCCTTCCTCTCTCTCTGTCTCTCTGTCACACACACACACACACACACACACACACATTCCCACATACACACATTAGACCTTCCTATAACAAGTCATTAAGTTGTCTAAATTAGAAATGTGGTCCTCATTGTGAGCTGCTATAGAAATGCAGATATCTTTTCTGTCATCTTCTCTTAGGAATTGCAACAACATCTAGCTTCTCACAAAATCAGGTAAAGTTGTGTTCCTCTGCCATTCCTCTGCTCCAGTGTTGTAATATATTTTAATCAAAATGTATCTAAAACTATGAACTTCAAAATACATAGCTTCTCATATGGTGACTTCATTATGTAGTGTCAAAAGAGCCGTATGCCAAAAGGCCAATTTTACCATTTCTATGTGGACAATGCTTACTTTTCTGGGAAGGTTTGCTCCATCATTCTCCCAAGTATCCAGAGATAAGACTTTTTGATGACCAAACTTTACATAGATGTCACCTTATAGGAACAAATTTCCAAACTCCTATTGGCCATGTGGACTCTGTCTGTACCTAGCCTTACACTTCTGCTCCTCACTGGCCATTAGAAAAGCAAATGGAGGGAGATGGAGAAAGATAGCCAAACAAAAGCCTCTACTGATCATCCTCCTTGCAGAACCACCAAATGTAACACCTATTTACACAAAAAAGAGCCCTTCATAAGAAGCAGAAATCAGATGAGCAATTATAGTACCTGGTTTTAAGTTCATATTACTGAAAAAGGCACTGAAGACAGCAGGAAAGACAGTCTTGAATTGCCCATGCCAACCCTCCCCTGTCTTATGGCAGCTGCAGTGGGGCATGGAAACAAAATCTTGTATGCATAGGGGAGGGAGAGCACAGTGATTGTGGGATGTTGCATTAAAGCTTAGTCCTTTCCTTTTACAGTGGAAAGCAACACCAGACAGAAATTGGCAGGTGCCCATAGAAGCAGCATTTAGAACAGACCTACCCAGAGGGGAATCGCCCATCCCAATGGTCAGAACGTGAGTTCTGGCAAAACTCACCACCACAGGCTAATACTCTGGGATTCTAAATAAAATTGAAAGGCATTCTAGGCCACAAAGACTGCAACTCCTAAGCAATTCCTAGAGCTGTTCCAGGCTCAGAGCAAGTGTATTTGGGGGACACGTGAACTAGTAAGACACCAAGCTGGGGTGGCCAAAGATGTTGCAGCTCTGAAAGAGACTCCTTTCTTTTTTCTGTAGAAGGAGAGGGAAGAGTAAAGAGGACTTTGTCTTGCAACTTAGATACTACATCAGGCCACAGTGGGGCAGTGGAGTAAGGCACTGGGCAGTCTTTTTTTTTTTTTTTTTTTTTTTTTTTTTTTTTTTTTTTGAGACAAGGTCTTTCTCTGTCACCTAGGCTGGAGTGCAGTGGCACAATCACCTCTCACTGCAACTTCTGCCTCCTGGGCCTAGGCTCAAGTGATCCTTCCACCTCAACCTCTCAAGTAGCTCGGACAGCCTGCCCCAAGGGCCTGTGCTGGTGGCTGCCATGGGGAGACTCCTCTGCTTTTGGAAATGGGAGGGAAAGACCTTGTCTTGTGGGTTGGGTGTCAGCTCAGCTGCAGGTTAATAGAGAACCAGGTAGATTCAAGAGGTAGGGAGGATCACAAAAACAAACAAACAAACAAACAAAACAGAAATTAATAACAAAAAGGCAGGAGTAAATCCTTACTTATGAATAATAACATTGAATGTAGATGGACTAAACTCTCCAATCGAAAGACATAGAGTAGACAAATGGATAAAAAACAAGACCTAATGATCTGTTGCCCACAAGAAATACACTACACCTGTAATTAAACACATAGACTGAAAATAAAGGGATAGAAAAGATATTTCATGCCAACGGAAACCAAAAATGAGCAGTAGCTATACTTACATCAGAAAAAGTAGATTTCAAGACAAAAGCTATTAAATGAGTCAAAGAAGATCATTAGATAATGATAAAAGGGATAATTCATCCAGATGATATATCAACTGCAAATATATATGTACCGAACACTGAAGCACCCCAATATAGAAAACAAATATTATTAGAACTAAAGGGAGATACAGACCCCAATACAATAATAGCTGGAGATTTCAACAACACATTTTCAGTTTTGGACAGGTCATCCAGTCAGGAAATTAATAAAGAAACATCAGATTTACTCTTCATGATAGAACACATGGACCTAATAGATATTTACAGATCATTTCATCTAGCAGCTACAGAATGCACATTCTTTTCCTCAGCACATGGATTATTCTCAAGGATAGACTATATGTTAAGCCACAAAACAAGTCTGGAGACATTCAAAAAATTTGAAATAATATCAGGTACCTTCTCTGGCCACAATGGAATAAAACTATCAATAGAAATAAATAACAAGAGGAATTTTTCAAACTATACAAGCTCATGGAAATTAAACAATATGCTCCTGAATGACCAGTGAATCAATGGAGAAATTAAGAAGAGAATTTAAAAATCTCTTTAAACAAATGGTAATGGAAACACAACATACCAAAATCTATGGGATATAGCGAAGCAGCACTAAGAGGAGAGTTTATAGTTCTGAGTGCCTACATCAAAAAAGTAGAAAAACTTCAAATAAACAACCTGATGATGCATCTTGAAGAACTAGGAGAGGAAGAGAAAGCCAAACCCAGAATTAATAGAAGAAAAGAAGTAATAAAGACTCACGAAAGGAAAGACTTCACATGTTCTCACTTATTTGTGGGAACTGAAAATTAAAACAATTGAACAAATGTAGATAGAAAATAGAAAGATGGTTAACAGAGGCTAGGAAGGGTAGTGAGGGTGTGTGTGTGGCAAGGAGTGGGATTGCTTAATTGGTACAAAAAATAGGAAAAACAAATGACACCTAGTATTTTAGCACAACAGGATGTCTATAGTCAATAATAATTTAATTGTATATTTTAGAGTAACTGAAAGAGTATAATTGGATTTTTTGCAACACAAAAGATAAATGCTTGAGGAAGTGGATACCCTATTTACCATGATGTAATTATCATACATTCCATGCCTATATCAAAGTATTTCATTTAACATATAACTATATACATCTACTAAGTACCCACAAAAATTAAAAATCAAAAATTTAAAAATTAATTAAATTGAAATGAAGAAAATAATACAAAAATCAATGAACCAAAAAGTGAGTTCTTTGAAAAGATAAATAAAATTGACAAACTTTTAGCCAGGCTAACTAAAAAAAATCCAAATAAATAAAATTAGAGATGAAAAAAGGAGACAATACAACTGATACTATAAAATTCAAAACATCATTAGAGGCTAATGTTAGGAACTATATAACTATACACCTATAAATTGGAAGACCTAGAAGAAATGAATAAATTCCTAGACACATGCAGCCTATCAAAATTGAAATATGAAGAAATCCAAAACCTGAATAGATTAAGTAACCAGATCAAGGCCATAAGAAAAGGCCTCCCAGGAAAGTAAAACCCTCAACTCAATGGCTTCATTACTGCATTTTACAAAACATTTAAAGAAGAAGTAATATTGATCCTACTCAAACTAGTTTTGCAAAATAGAGGAGGAGAGAATACTCTCATACTCATTCTGTGATGCCAGTATTACCCTGATACCAAAGCCAGGCAAAGACATATCAAAAAAAAGAAAACTACAGACCAATATCCCTGATCAACATTAATGTCAAAATCCTCAACAAAATACTCGCAAACAATACACTCAACAATACATTAGAAAGATCATTCATCATCACCAAGTGGGATTTATCTCAGGGATGCAAGGATAGTTCAATGTATGCAAATCAATCAATATGAAACATCATATAAACAGAATGAAGGACAAAGCCTATATGATCATTTCAATCGATGCTGAAAAAAGCATTTGATAAAATTCAATATCACTTTATGGTAAAAAACATAAAAAAAGCTGGGTGTAGAAAGAATGTACCTCAACACAATAAAAGCCATATACAACAACAAAAAAAAAAACAGGAAATGTCGTACTGAATGGGGAAAAACTGAAAGCCTTTCCTCTAAGATCTGAAACATGATAAGGATGCGCACTTTCACTACTGTCATTCAATATAGTACTGGAAGTCCTATCTAGAGCAATCAGAAAAGAGAAAGAAATGGCATCCAAATTGGAAGGGAAGGAGTCAAGTTATCCTTGTTTGCATATTATATGATTTTATATTTCAAAAAACCCAAAGAGTCTACCAAAAACTATTAGAGATAATAAACAAATTTAGTAAAGTTGCAGGATACAAAGTCAACATATAAAAATCATTAATATTTCTATATGCCAACAACAAACAATCTGAAAAAGAAACCAAACAGTAATTCCAGTTATAATAGCTACAAATAAAATTAAATGCCTAGAAATTAACATAAGGAAGTGAAAGATCTCTACAATGAAAACTATAAAACATTGATGAAAGAAATTGAAGATGACCCTAACAAATGGAAAGATATTCCATGTTCATGGATTGGAAGAATCGATATTGTTTAAATATCTATATTTTCCAAAGCAATCTATAGATTCAAAGTGATCTGTGTCAAAATACCAATGACAATATTCATAGAAATAGAAAAAAAAAATCCTAAAATGTGTATGGAACAACAAAAGACTCAGAATAGCCAAAGCTGTCCTGAGCAAAAAGAATAAAACTGGAGGAATCACATTACCTGACTTCAAATTAAACTACAGAGCTATAGTAACCAAAACAGCATGGTGCTCACATAAAAACAGACACATAGACCAATAGAACAAAATAGACAACTCAGAAACAAATCCATACACCTACAGTGAAATCCTTGATAACACAGCTGCCAAGAATGTACATTGGGGAAAAACTATCTCTTCAATAAATGGTGCTGGGAAAACTGGCTATCCATAGGCAGAAGAATAAAACTAGATTCCTATCTCTCACATATACAAATATCAAATGCAAATGGATTGAAGACTTAAACCTAAGACCTCAAACTATGAAACTACTACAAGAAAACATTGGGGAAACCCTCTGGGACATTGGTCTGGGCAAAGATTTCTTGAATAATACCCCACAAGTAGAGGCAACCAAAGCAAAAATGGACAAATGGTATTACATGAAGTTAAATGATTCAGTACAGCAAAAGAAACAATCAACAAAATGAAGAGACAACTCACAGAATGAAAAAAAGAAAAATATTTGCAAACTAACCATCTCACAAATGATTAATAACTAGAAAAAAGAGCTCAAACAACTCTATAAGAAAAAAAATCCAATAGTCCAATTTAAAAATGGGTAAAAGATATGAATAAACATTTATCAAAAGACAAAATACAAAGACATCCATTATGAGAGAAATGTGAATGAAAGCTGCAATGAGATATTATCTCACACAAGTTAAATGGCTTTTATCTAAAAGACAGGTAATCACAAATGCTAGTAAGGATGTGGAGAAAAGGGAACCATCCTGAACTGTTGGTGGGAATGTAAAGTAGTATGATCACTATGGAGAGCAGTGTGGAGGTTTCTCTAAAATAATAGAAGTACCCACTGCTAGGTGTATACCCAAAAGTAATCAGGATATGGAGGAGATATTTGCACTCTTATGTTTATTGCATTACTCTTCAAATAGCCAAGATTGGGAAGCAACCTATGTGTCCCATCAGCAGACAAAAATGGATAAAGAAAATTTGGTACATGCACAAAATGGAGTATTATTCAGCCATAAAAAAGAGTGAGACGATGTCATTTGCAACAACAGGAATGGAACTGGAGGTCATTAGGTTAAATGAAATGTCAGGCACAGAAAAACAAACTTCACATGTTCTCATTTATCTGTGAAAGTTAAAAATCAAAACAAATGAACTCATGAAACCACAGAGTAGAATTATGGTTACCAGAGTCTGGGAAGGGTAGTGGGAGGTGGGGAGGGAAGTGGAGATGGCTAATGCATACAAAAAAATAGAAATAATGGATAAGATCTGGTATTTGATGGAAAAACAGGGTGACTACAGTCAATAATAATTTCATTATACATTTGAAGTAACTAAAGACTGTAACACAAGAAAGGGTTAAATACTTGAGGTAAATGGATATCACACTTAGCATGATGTGACTATTATACACTGTATGCCTGTATCAACATATCTCATGTTCCTCATAAATATATAGATCTATTATGTACTGATAAAAATTAAAAAGAAAGAGTGGAAGACACAGAAGATAAAACCATTTGATGATAGAGGCAGAGATTGGAGTGATGCATCTATAAGTCAAGGAACACCAAGCACAGTGACAGCCCCAGAACCTGGAGAGAGGCATGGGACAGATTATTCTTCCAGAGCTTGCTGAAAGACCAGCCCTGGGGAAATGCTGATTTCTGATGTCTGGCTTCTGTAACTGTGTGATATGGTTTGGCTGTGTCCCCATCCAAATCTGAACTTGAATTGTATCTCCCAGAATTCCCACGTGTTGTGGGAAGGACCTAGGGGGAAGTAATTGAATCATGGGAGTAGGTCTTTCTCATGCTATTCTTGTGATAGTGAATAAGTGTCACGAGATCTGATGGGTTTATCAGGTGTTTCTGCTTTTGCTTCTTCCTCATCCTTTCTTGCTGCCACCATGTAAGAAGTGCCTTTCACCCTCTGCCATGATTGTAAGACCTCCCCAGCCATGTGAAACTGTAAGTCCAATTAAACTTCTTTTTGTTCCCAGTTTCAGGCATGTCTTTATCAGCATTGTGAAAATGAAATACTACAGTAAATTTATACCAGTAGAGTGGGGTGCTGCTGAAAAGATACCCCAAAATGTGGAACTGACTTTGGAACTGGGTAACAGGAAGAGGTTGGAATGATTTCGAGGGCTCAGAAGAAGACAGGAAAATGTGGGAAAGTTTAGAACTTCCTAGAGACTTGTTGAATGTTTTTGACCAAAATGCTGATAATGATATGAAAAGTAAGGTCCAGGCTGAAGCAGTCTCAGATGGAGATGAAGAACCTCTCGGAAGCTAGAGTAAAGGTGACTCTTGCTATGTTTTAGCAAATAAACTGGCAGCATTTTGCCCCTGCCCTAGAGATCTGTGGAACTTTGAACTTGAAAGAGATGATTTAGGGTATCCAGTGGAAGGAATTTCTAAGCAGCAAAGCATTCAAGAGGTGACTTGGGTACTGTTAAATGCATTCAGTTTTATAAGGGAAGTAGAGCATAAAAATTTGGAAAATTTGCATCCTATGTGATAAAAAATAAAAGCCCATTTTTCTGGGGAGAAATTCAAGCTGGCTGCAGAAATTTGCATAAATAGCAAGGAGCCTAATCTTACTCCCCAAGATTATGGGGAAAATGTTCAGGCCATGTCAGAGACCTTCAAGGCAGCCCTTCCATCACAGGCCCAGATGCCCAGGAGGAAAAAATGATTTCATGGGCAAGGCCCAGGGGCCCCATGCTGTATGAAGCCCAGGGATTTGGTGTCCTGTGTCCCAGCCTCTCCAGCCATGGCTGAAAGGGGTCAATGTACAGTTCAGGCTGTGGCTTCAGAGGGTGGAAGCCCAAAACCTTGGCAGCTTCCATGTGCTGTTGAGCCTGCAGGGGCACAGAAGTCAAGAATTGAGGTTTGGGAAGCTCCACCTAGATTTCAGAAGATGTTTGGAAATGCCTGGATGCCCAGGCAAAAATTGCTGCATGGGTGGGGCTTTCATGGAGAACCTCTGCTAGGACAATGTGGAAGGGAAATGTAGGGTCAGAGCCCTCACACAGAGTCCCTACTGGGGCACTGCCTAGTGGAGCTGTGAGAAGAAGCCCACCATCTGTCAGACCCCAGAATGGTAGATCCGCTTGCACCATGCACCTAGAAAAGCCACAGACACTCAATGCCAGCCTGTGAAAGCAGACAGGAGGGAGGCTGTACCATGCAAAGCCACAAGGCTGGAGCTGCCCAAGACCATGGGAACCCACCTCTTGCATCAGCATGACCTGGATGTGAGACGTGGAGTCAAAGGTGATCATTTTGGAGCTTTCAATTAGACTGTCCCACTGGATTTCTGACTTGCATGGGCCCTGTAACCCCTTTATTTTGGCCAATTTCTCCCATTTGGAATGGCTGTATTTACCCAATACCCATACCCCTATTGTATCTAGGAAGTAACTAGCTTTCTTTTGACTTCACAGGCTCATAGGTGGAAGGGACTTGCCTTGTCTTAGATAAGACTTTGGACTGTGGACTTTTAGGTTAATGCTGAAATTAGTTAAGACTTTGGGGGAATGTTGGGAAGGCATGATTGGTTTTAAAATGTGAGGACATGAGATTTGGTGGGGCCAGGGGTGGAAATACATTGTTTGGCTGTGTCCACATCCAAATCTCATCTTGAATTGTATCTCCCAGAATTCCCACATGTTGTGGATGGGACCTAGTGGGAGGTGATTGAATCATTGTTGCCGGTTTTTCTCATGCTATTCTCATGATAGTGAATAAGTCTCACAAGATCTAATGGGTTTATCAGGGGTTTCCACTTTTGCTTCTTCCTCTTTCTCTGTTGCTGCTGCCATGTAAGAAGTGTCTTTTCGCCCTCTGCCATGATTATGAGACCTCCCCAGCCATGTGGAACTGTAAGTCAAATTAACCTCCTTTTCTTCCCAGTCTCGGGTATGTCTTTATCAGCGGCATAAAAACGGACTAATACACTGTTAAAGAATAAAGTTATGTTGTTTTGTTGTTAAAAGAGGTGGGGTCGGGGAAAGAAGAGGAAAAGCAAATGAAATCAAAAGGAGTAAGTAAAATGTAGAAAGTAAGTTCAGAAGGAAGTAGTAGAAGATTGTTTTTTGAAAAGAAGGAAGGGAGACACAAAGGAAAGGAAGGAAAAAAAAGAATAGAAAAAAAGAAGAAAGTGATATCAACTAAGTACAAATTTATGAACCTGAGTCATACAACTGAGAAATTAAATCTAAAAAAAGACGTCAACATAAAATCATTTCTACAAATCTAAGATTTAAACTAAGTAGAATTAATATTTGTTAATCAAGCATAAAATTAAAATCAGTCACTTAATAAAAATAAAAACAGTTTATAATTTTAAAAGGATTAAAAACTTTTAAACATAAAAATAAGAAATTGTGACTATTAAAAAGTCACTTTTAAAAAAACAATGAAGAGGTAATAGTAAAAGCATAAATCTTTCATACTGGTTATTCAGTCCAATGATCTATTAATTTTATCTTGCACTCTGGTAATAATACATGAATAAAACACAATCTATTATCCCTATTAATAGCAACAATAGCAACTTCCCATCTACAAATCAAAGGGGAAATGCTAATCTTTGCTCTTAAGAAATGCTAACTAAGAAACTAAGAAGCTAGGTAAAACTCAAATTTTGAGTGTTTTCATTTAAAATGAGCTTTTAATTAACATACTTTGACTTGGGAGTGAAAAGTCATACAAAAAGCAAGTGGCTATGATTCTGCATTAATCTAACAAACTAGCTTTTGGGTGTTCTATTTAGTTTTTTAAAATATCTCTTCTTTCTCAGACCAATCACATATTTTTACTATGTTTTACATAATTCTATTTAAATATGTTTAGCATTTTGTGTTATTAAGTCTAAATTCTAAAATTTCTAAATTTTATAATTTCTAAATCAATAGAGCAAAGGAAAATTTTGACAGAGGAACAAGTAACGTAAGCATTGTTTTTGTTTCTTTTGTCAAAATTGGTTCACCTTATAAGTCGTTATTCTCTCAGGTACAGTCCTATCAAAATTTAACAAAACCTAAAAAATATTTCATTTATACTGACATTAAAAATTTTCCTAAGGCGGCATTAGCATTCGTTGAATTTTCCATTGATTTTTTAACATTGACAATTCAAAGACTAACTTAATTTTTAATGTATCTTCTCAGTTAATAAAAACACCATTCCTGAAATTGGAAGGAATAAAGGAGGAAACAAAAGAGTACATATAAGATTGATTAATTTTTTAGGAAAGGTTAAATGCTCACCCAGACTTGGATGATGGCTGAAATGTTTGAGTTGTTTATTCGGAAGGTTTTGAAAAGGAATAATATTTGCCTTAATCGCTAGGTGAGAAATGGTTCTTGAATCATGAAAAGAGATATAAGAAAACATCAGTTTCCTTCAATAATCATTCCCAGTGAAAGTACTTCCTAATATATTTGTATTAATACGTTTAAATATATATGTGTCTGCTTGAAGGGTTTGCAGTAAAGTCTAAGGAATGACCACAATGTAGACTAGCATCTAAGCTACACATTTAAGTTAAATTCTAATTTACAATTCAAAAAAAAAATCACTGAAAATTTAAGTAATCTCTTATGTAGGAGAGGAAATATTGAGGGAAGAATAAAATGCATGCACATAAGTGTTAAACACTGAAATTATCTAAATCAAACTTGTGAAGTTCAATTAGTATTCAGCTACTGAAAATAAGATTATTACACCTTTTTAACACACTTGCTTCCAATTTTTAAAGAAATATATTTTATTGTTTTAGGCAAAATTGCATATCCTTAAAGAATACAAATAATACTGAAAATTAAAGATGAAAATTCAAATTCTACCACTCTCAAACTCTCATTTTTAGCATTAGCTGGACACTATCTCACCCAAGTCTCAATGTCACAATTCACCTCTCTATGCAAATATACAGATAGAACTTCCATCTGTATCTTCTAACTTCTTAGATAGATGTTTGGATGGATAGCTGGATGGAAATAATTTATAATAGGGGAACCATAGTATAGAAGTTTTTTTCAATCAAATGTGTCAACTTTAGTTTCATTTGAACTTCATAGCAGAAAATAAACCAATAAGCTTAAAGAAAAAGTGAGAAGATAATATAAAAATCTTTTACAATAGAATGATTTTTTAAATCACCTTCTTCAATTTTAACTTTATTGGATTCCTGTTTAAAATATGTGTGATATTTTACACATATTTAAAATATGTGTAATAGTGGTATTACCACTTTTACATCTCTTCATTTTAATAAGGCATGTTATCGTTTACATTGCTCATGTTTAAAACATTCACATTTTGTTCTGTAACCTCAGGTCCCATAGTTTTTTTATTAATAGTTATGTATATAACTGGATTCAGTGTGCCTCACCATTTCATTTTACCATGGATTCTCGATTGCTCTGTGTTTTTTTTAATTTATCTTTTAATTGGACATACTTGATGCTCAAGCTTTTTTACTTTTTTACTCAAGAAGGGCACCTGAGTATAGTTATCTTAATTCATTCTTTTTTGATAGCACCTATAGCCTTTATCTCTGAATAACATCTTGAATGGTGATAGAATTATTGGGTTACATTTTTGTTACTTTAGAGGGTGCAGACGTTGTTTTATCACCTCTTGCATTGTATGTTGGAAATGTCTGCAGCTACCCTCATGTTTTCTCTCCTGTTAGGTGACACTTTGTGGGAGGGTTGTGGGGATCTGAATAGTCAATAGGTTGAGTAGGCCATGTCTTATTGTTGACTATGTCAAGTTTACTTGAAATTGTATACTTCTGATGTTCAGATTAAGTTACTTATTTGGGAAAATAATATTATAGATTCAACATGCATCTTCTCCTACGTTTGTTGAGTCTCTACTTCACAGACATGAATTATTGTTATGCTGTATTACCTAGTCTCACTTCCATATCTACTTGTTTTTCTTTAATCATTTTAATCCTCTTCATTTACAATGAAGCAGCATTCATTATATAAACCTCAACATTTTTAACAATATCACTTATTTGATTTCTAGTCAAGTCAATTTTGTTTTCACTATTTCTGAATTATATATTGTTACATAATGGTGGAATATTGATCCTCAACTTGTGTTCATAAGTCTGATAGACATTTTAATCATGTGTACTTGTTTCTCACATTTGAGCTCATTTTTGAAGAATTTACATTCTCAATGTGTTATTTAATAATATGAAATAATTGTGAGTAATTCCATTCTGTTCCATCAGTTACTTTTCTTCCATTTTGGACACTTGGCTTTGCTTCCTTTCTTTGATCATTTTGGGAGTTCTATAAAGTTCTATCTGCTCTGATAAAACATGGGTAACGTGTTTAGCCTCTTCCTACTATACCTGATACCAGTTAATTTTTCTTTCAAGGCTGCAGTTTGAGCTGCATGCATATTTTCTTTCTCTTCTCTCTTTGCCTCCTTCTGTCTCTCTCTCTTTCTCTCTGTTTCTCTGCCTCTCTAGCTGTCTTTCTCTCTAGTTTTCAAATATTATAGTATCGTCTTTCCTTTTCTGGACACTGTTGGTAATATTTTTCTTTTTACATGACAATTTTTGCTCATTTTCCTAGGTATCACTTAGGAAAATTCTAATACTATGAAGATATTTTAGCTATTTTAACCAAGAAGTAACTATTTAATCTTTAAAGTTCTGCATATACATTATCAAATGATTATCCAAACATCACATGTAATTTTTAATGATCATTACATTATTGAGATAATTATGCTGCATAAACTATGGCATTTAGGAATAGAGAGAGATTTGTTAAATGATACAAAATTACCCTGATCTGATCACTACAAATTATAAATATCAAAACATCATTATTTACCCCATGAATATGTACAAGTCTTATTTGTAAAATTTAAAAGAATCCTACGGTTTTTCAATCTATCATTTTAAATTTAATCTTTCAATCTTTAGTGATAGAAAGTTTATCATATTGTATCGGGATATTCTTTAAATATATTCCTGAACTACTTTTCTTGTGATTATTTCAAGTAGGTAAAATGACTTTTGGAAAGTTTCAGGAGGATAAATAAAAGTTACACTAAAGATATAGATTTCACGGAGACGGTGATATTTCTGATATTCTTGACTGATTCATGAAATCATAGGCAATTTATTTGCATTGTGCAATGAGCCAAGTTTTATTATATGAGAAAGACACAAAAAAAGTTTTAAATCTCTTTATATATTATTCATTTCAACGTTGTTTACTATAACCTATTGTAGGTTTATAAGTCCTTGCACTTTATTCCAGTTGTTACTATGCTTCCTCCCAAATACATTTACAATTTATATTTCCTCTTTCTTTGTAGAATTTAGATATTAAAAATTATTTATCAAATACCACATACTTACAAATACGTTTTAATCATGAGTGTCCAGATTTATCCATTTATCTTAATGTAGCCTTGAATGCTGTATAAAAAAAGATTTATGCTTCATGTCTTTTATTCTTAATTAGTAAGGGCTCCACAGATGAAAGCATTTTTGTAATTGGGCTCAGAAGTGTTTAAATTGCTAAATTAGCATATATTGAATACATTAAGTAACATTGAAAAATTATAAATACATGGTAATAGACCTCTAACAAAAATGCTCAAATTATTTTATATGATTAGTACAAAACTGTATTATTATACACACAATAACTTGTATATCGTTAAAGAGTATAGACAAACACTTTAGCTATAGCTGAAAAGCTCATAGAGGCCACCTGAAATTGTTTTATCCCAGAGGTAAACAAATGTATTTTGGCTTCATTAAACATTTTGATATTTAAAAAAAGCTCCACCATTTGTGCCAACACTATCAGTGGCATCTTTTTAATAGGATCCTTCTAGGAGGAAGAAAAAAGCTATATAAGCATATTCTATCTTTCTTATAAATGCTCAACATTTTTTCTTTTAAAAAATTGTAGTCTTCAGTGCTGCACACTGTAACAATGCAGGCTGTCAAAGACTAGATAACTAATTTAGTTGGAAATGAATTAATGCTGTCCTCATCTCACATTAATTTTGTTAGAATTTTGTTTTAAGTAGAAAATATTGGCTCTGAGTATGGAATAATGAGTTACTTCTTTAGACTCAATAGACTAAAATGCCAGGAATGGAAACAATGTCACCTTTGTGACTAGAATACTAAATGATGAGCCATATATACTGCTCAGCAGCAAAAATGTCCTCAGTGCAGACTTGATCCATTTGACCAAGGTCAGCATTTAATTTCATACCTGAAATATCATATAGTTTACATTGTATGTATTCTAGAGCCTAGATTTTATTCCATGAAATTCTCATTCATTAGTGTCTGTAATTTATTTTTACCCATGAGTAAAGCTTTAATCTTTTATGCAATCATGACAAGCCAAAGCAGAACAAATTATGATATATCTTTGTACAATAATATCTGACAGAAATTGCCCACAGTAAATATAAAGAAAAATGCATTCAGAAAAAACCAATTAACATCTTATAATTGAGTAAAGATTTCATAACCTGTATTGTTTTCAAAAGATTTTAAAGCTTGATACTTAATAACCATAAGTTGAAATAAATGAATGGTTTCATTCATTTTGTGGCAAACCATTTAATAATGCTTTTCATCCTGTAGTGATTCTTAGCTGTCTAGGTAAAAACAGGTTTTCATTACTGGAGAAAATATGAAATCTGAAATGTTATTACACAGAGAAGAAAACATGTAGGTATTGAGAAAACAATTAGAATTTTAACTATTTCTGTCCATATTTTGATTAAGAATATAACTGTATAGGATATATTATACATAGCTCTCTAAGGGGTGCAACATTATTTATCTGCTCAATCTGGGAATATTTTCAGAATTTGTCCATTTGAAATCTATCTGTTTAAAATGTCTTTGGTAGTAACTGAAGAAGTTGTTCTAACTTACTCAGACTTGCAAAAAAAAAGTAAAACCTAAAAAGATGTGAGAATGATTGAAATCACATGTCAAATGTATGGTTTACAATTTATTAGAAAGTTCACTTAAACATGAATAAGGGTAACATAGATTATCAATATTATGGTTTTAATTTTACTTCCAATCTTTCACTACAAAGGAAGCACTAAAATCCTTAACCATGCATGTGCGAAGGGAATTTTCTTTGACCCAGTCCTGTACAGATCTTTTATTAATCATCTTAATTCTTAATTCTGCACTGCCTGCTCATTTCTTGCTGTGATTGTTTTGTAGTGATCTATATAAAAATGGCTACTACCTCCTATCCAGACACAGTCTCAGGATTTTGTGTCGTTGTTTTTGTCTTTTGTTGATCAAAGGCTCTATGTGCACAGGCTCCATCCACTCTCTTTCTAAAGCATTTGTCATTTCCTTCCATTAGGTAATCTCTGCAGTTCTCTGGCTATGGCTGTTAAATATCTGGAATTAGTTTATCTATATTGAGTTTGCCTCATTGCAGGTTCAAGAGCTTGGCTTTACTGTTAAATAGGAAGAATAACATCAAGAGATTTATTATATAGCATGGTTTCTATAATTAATAATGATATATTGTATTTTAGAGAAATGCTAAGAAGGTGGATGTATTCTCGCCACAAAAATGATAACTATGTGAGATAATGTACTTGTTAATTAGCTAGATTTAACCATTCTACAATGTATATGTACTTTCAAATATCATGTAATACACAATAAATAGATGCGATTGTATATATAAATTTTAAAAATCTAAAAAATTTTTTTTTGGAAAAAAGCTTGTCTTTTTTTTGGAGCTTTGCTAGTTGGTGCAAACAAGTGACCAGCCTATAAAAAACTGTCCTCATCTTAGCAAAGGGTTTGGCCATAGAGAAAAGAAATGTCCTCCCTGTGCCAGCATTTTACAGATTTAGTGTCTGAACTTCTAGATCTTATCCACTGAATACCTCACTCTAATCATTCTCTGCACCTCTGACTCTAGGGCACAGATTTCTCTCTGTGTTTTCCTTGCCTTGCCTTTCTGCCTTGATACCTGATGCCACAGTCTATCCACCTTGGACCCCAGCTGCAGACTTCAGAGTCTCTCCCAGCATTGCCTTTATCTCTCTGGGATGCTGGCCAAAGATATTCATGGAGATCCTATGGAGTATTACTACTGCTGCTTAATCCTGCCCCAAAAACCCATCCCTGCACCTGCTCCTACATGCAGCTTCTTACCACTCCTTGTCTTTGCCTAAGGAGTCAGACCTAGGCACGACAGCTTTTATCAGGAAGGAACCTGCATCCAAACTGACTTGAAAAGAGCTTCTTCCAGGCCTAAGTCTTTTGCTGCATTTTGCATTATTACATTGTCCCTTTATGAAAATCAAGTATTCTGTTTTACTCTTTTTTGCCTGTTTCTTAGTAGATATCAACTCCAAATATCTTTTAATATCTACAGCAATGGTGATTGTTTCCCAGGCCTTTTAAAGACAATAAAAACTCTGATGTTGAATACTTGCAAATAGCAAATATAGCCTCAAGTTATAGTGTCTTCAAATAGTTTCCTGTCCACTGTCCTTATGACAGTCTACCAAGACATGAGCTTTGTGATCCATAAAATTAATTTAAACACTTTAGGGGAAAAAACTAATAGCATTAATTTAATTTAATTTAATTTAATGTAATCATGTGTTGACATAATTTCTAACAATGAATTTCTAGGTAAAATATTTATACTGTTATATAATATATGTGATTTATTAAAATATATATAACACTAAAATATATCCTTTGATATTATTAAATATTTTAATACCTCACTTTGCACCAGTATTAAACAAAATCATTTTTGTAACACATGTTAGATGATTAAAAAACTTTACTCTTCAAAGAACAATAGAAAATCATTAAATTATAACTCATAGATTTAATTGTATTGCCCAATATTAAGAATGTACTGGATTAGTAATAATTCTAGTCCAGGGGGCACTGACTCATGCCTGTAATCCTAGCATTTCAGAAGGCCACGGCAGGAAGATCGCTTGAGTCCAGGAGTTCGAGGTCAGCCTGGGCAACAATAGTGAGACCCCCATCTCTACAAAAATTTTCTTTAAAAATTAGGCAGTGATATGGTTTGGCTCTGTGACCCCACCCAAATCTCATCTTGCAGCTCCCATAATTCCCAGAACAAGGTGAGAGATGGTTGAATCATGGGGGTGGGTCTTTCCCATGCTGTTCTCATGATAGTGAATGGGTCTTACAAGATCTGATGTTTTTAAAAATGGGAGTAGACCTGCATAAGCTTTCTTCACCTGCTGCCATCCACATAAGTTGAGACTTGCTCCTCCTTGCCTTCCACCATGATTGTGAGGCTTCCCCAGCCACATGGGACTGTGAATTCTCCATTAACCCTCTTTCTTTTGTAAATTGCCCAGTCTCAGGTATGTCTTTATCAGCAGTGTGAAAACGGACTAATACAGTAAATTGGTACCAGTAGAGTGGGGCATTGGTGAAAAGATACCTGAAAATGTGGAAGTGACTTTGGAACTGGGTAACAGGCATAGGTTTGAACAGTTGGGAGGACTCAGAAAATGAGAAGAGGTTGGAAAGTTTGGAACTCCCTAGAGACTTGTTGAATGTTTTTGACCAAAATTCTGATAGTTATATGAACAATAGGGTCCAGGTTGAGGTGGTCTCAGGTGGAGATGCAGAACTTTTTGGGAACTGGAGCAAAGGTGACTCTTGTTATGTTTCAGCAAATAGACTGGTGGCACTTTGCTCCTGCCCTAGAGATTTATGGAACTTTGAACTTGAGAGAGATAATTTAGAATACCTGGCAGAAGAAATTTCTAAACAGCAAAGCATTCAATAGGTGACTTGGAGGCTGTTAAATGCATTCAGTTTTAAAAGGGAAACAGCGTATTTGCAGCCTATGTGATAGAAAATAAAATCCCATTTTCTGGGGAGAAATTCAAGCTAGCTGCAGAAATTAGCATAAGTAATGAGGAGCTGAATGTTAATCCCCAAAACAATGGGGAAAATGTCTCCAGGGCATGTCAGAGGTCTTGACAGCAGCCCTTCCCATCACAGGCCCAGAGGCCTAGGAGGAAAAGATGATTTCATGGGCCAGGCCCTGGGCTCTCCTGCTCTGTGCAGACTGCAGACTTGGTATCCTGCATTCCAGAAGCTCCAGCCATGCCTAAAAGAAGCCAAGGTACAGCTTGGGTTTTGGCTTCAAAGGGTGGAAGTCCAAGGTATTGGCAGCTTCCATGGGGTGTTGAGCCTGCAAGGGCACAGAAGTCAACTATTGAGGTTGGGGAACCTCCACCTAGATTTCAAAAGATGTATGGAAATGCCGGATGACCAGGCAGAAGTTTGCTGCATTGGGGGCCCCTCATGGAGAACCTCTGCTAGGGCAGTGTGGAAGGGAAATGTGGGGTTGGAGCCCCCACACAGAGTCCCTACTGTAGCACTGCCTAGTGGAGCTGTGAGAAGAGGGCCACTGTCCTCCAGACCCCTGAATGGTAGATCCACTGACAGCTTGCATTGTGCACCTGAAAAAGCTGCAGACACTCAATGCCAACCCATGAGAGCAGCTGGGAGGGAGGCTATACCCTGCAAAACCACAGGAGCAGACTGCCCAAGACTATGTGAACCTGCCTCTTGCATCAGTTTGACCTGAATGTAAGACATGGAGTCAAAGGTGATCATTTTGGAGCTTTAAGAGTTGACTGTCCTGCTGGATTTCATACTTGCATGGGCCCTGTAATCCCTTTGTTTTGGCCAATGTCTCCCATTTGGAATGGCTGCATTTAGGCAATGTCTCTGTACCTGCATTGTATCTAGGAAGTAACTAATTTTCTTTTTATTTTACAGACTCATAGGCAGAAGGGACTTGTCTCAGATGAGACTTTGGACTGTGGACTTTTTGAATTAATGCTGAAATGAGCTGAGACTTTGGGGGACTGTTGGGAAGGCATGATTGGTTTTGAAATGTGAAGATGTGAGATTTGGGAGGAGCCAGGGGCAGAATTATATGATCTGACTCTGTGTCCCCACCCAAATCTCATCTTGTAGCTCCCATAATTTCCACTTGTTGTGGGAGAGACCCAGTGGGAGATGATTGAATTATGTGGGTGGGTCTTTCTTGTGCTATTCTCATGATACTTAATGGGTCTCATGAGATCTGATGGTTTTAAAAATGGGAGTTACCCTGCAAAAGCTCTCTGCCTCCTGCCATCCATATAAGATGTGACTTGCTCCTCCTTGCCTTCCACCATGATTGTGAGGCTTCCTCATCCATGTTGAACTGTGAGTTCTCCATTAACCCTCTTTTGTAAATTGCCAAGTTTTTGGTATGTCTTTATCAGCAATGTGAAAATGGACTAATACAGTCAGGCATGATGTTTCATACCTGCAGTCCCAGCTATGTGAAAGCTAAGGTGGAAGATTTGCTCAAAACCTGGCCAGGCACTGTGGCTCACGCCTGTAATCCCAGCACTTTGGGAGGCCAAGGCGGGTGGATCACAAGGTCAGGAGTTCAAGATCAGTCTGGCCAACATAGAGAAACCCCATCTCTACTGAAAATACAAAAAATTAGCCAGGTGTGGTGGTGTGTGCCTGTAATCCCAGCTACTCGAGAGGCTAAGGCAGGAGAATTGTGTGAACTCAGGAGGTGGAGGTTGCAGTGAGCTGAGATGGAGCCATTGCACTTTAGCCCAGGTGACAGTGCAACACTCCAAAAAAAAAAAAAAAACACCTGAGGTTGAGGCTGCAGTGAGCCATGATCATGTCACTGCACTCCAGACTGAGTGACAGAGTGAGACCCTGACTCAAAAAAAAAAAAAAAAAAACACAGCATAAATACAATTTTACAGTATTCACCCAACTAAAAAGTACATCAGGGAACACAGCCATTTAGAGCCATTACCTTTGATAAGAGAATGGCTTGGGGCTTGCACCCTCTGAAGCAATAGCCTGAGCTCTACATTGACCCCTTTCAGCTGCAGATGGGACACAGGGCATCAAGTCCCTAGACTGCACACAGTGTGGGAGGCCCTGGGCCTGGCCAACAAAACCATTGTTTTCTCCTGACCCTTTGGGCCTGTAATGGTTGGGGCTGCTGTGAAGATCTCTCACATGCCCTTGAGACATTTTCCTCATTGTTTTGGAGATTAGCATTTGGCTCCTTATTACTTATGCAAATTTATGTAGCCAGCTTGAATTTCTCCCCAGAAAATGGGATTTTATTTTCTACTACATCATCAAGCTGTAAGTTTGCAAACTTTTGTGCTCTGTCACCCTTTGAATGCCTTGCTGATTAGAATTTTCTTCCACCAGATATACTAAATTATCTTTCTCAAGTTCCAAGTTCCACAGATCTCTAGGTCAGGGCAATATGCTGCCAGTCTCTTTGTATAGCAAGCATGATCTTTACTCCAGTTCCCAACAAATTCCCCATCTCCATCTGAGACCACCTCAGCCTGTTATTGTCCATATCACTATCAGCATTTTGGTCAAAGTAATTCAACAAATCTCTAGGGAGTTTCAAACTTTCCCACATCTTCCTGTCTTCTGAGTCCTCTGAACTGTTCCAACCTCTGCCTGTTACCCAGTTCCAAAGTCTCATCCACATTTTTGGGTATCTTTTCAGCAACACCCCACTCCTGGTACCAATTTACTGTATTCGTCTGTTCTCACACTGCTAGTAAACATGTACCTGAGACTGGGTAATTTATAAAGAAAAGTTTAATGGACTTACACTTTGACATTGCTTGAGAGGCCTCACAATTATGGCTAAAGACAAAGGAATAGCAAAGGGATGTCTTACATGGTGGCAGGCAAGAGAGAACTTGTGTAGGGGACCTCCCCTTTATAAAACCTTCAGATCTTGTGAGACTTATTTGCTACCATGAGAACAGCATGGGAAAGACCCACCCCTAGGATTCAATTATCTCCCACCAGGTCCCTCCCATGACACATGGGAATTATGGGAGCTACAATTCAAGATGAGATTTGGATGGGGACACAGCCAAACCATATCAGTGTTTATTGAGTAGCTATGATAGGCCAATAATTCTCAAACATTTTGGTCTCATAAATTATTGAGGAGCCCCAATATTTTGTTGTTTACATAGATAATATCTATTAATAGAAATGCAATTGAGAAAATATAGAAATATGAAATAATTCATTTAAAAATAAAATAATTATTCCATAACATAATAGTAACTATAGGTATTTTATGAAAAATAACTATGTATATTTTCCAAAATAAAATATATAATGAGAATACTGGCATTGTTTTACATTTTTGCAAATACCTTTAGTGTCTGTTTATATGGAAGACAGATATATTTCTGTATCTGCTTCTGTATTCAGTATGTTGTGTTATGCTGTTCTATATATGCATAAAAAGAAAATCAAGCCTCACACAGATATATATATAGTTCAAAAGGGGAAGAATCTTTATTTTATTTTATTTTACTTTTTATGGATTCAGGGGTTACATGTGCAGATTTGTTACATGGATATATTGTCCAATAGTGACATCTGGGCTTCTAGTGTACCCATCACTTGAATAATGAATATTGTACCCAATAGTTGATTTTTCAACTCTAATACTCTTCCCACTCTCCCATTCTGGAGCCCCAGTGTATATTACTTCCCTCTCTAAGTACATGTGTTCTCATTCTTTTGCTCCCACTTATAAATGAGGATAAATGATAATTGATTTCCTGTTTCTGAATTATTTCACTTAGGATAATGGCCTCCCACTCCATCCATGTTGCTGCAAAAGCCATGATTTCATTCTTTTTTATGGCTACATAGTATTCCATGGTGTATACCATATATATATGCCACATATTCTTTATCCAGTCTTTCACTGATAGACACTTAGGTTGATTTCATGACTTTGCTATTGTGTATTGTGCTGCTATAAACATAAGAGTGCAAGTGTCTTTTTGATATGACAATTTTTTTTCCTGTGGGGAGATACCCAGCAGTGGGATTCCTGGGTCAAATGGTAGTTCTATTATTCTCTGAGAAATCTCTATACTGTTTTCCAAAGAACTTGTACTGATATATAGCAAAAGGGAAGAGTTTTTTAAATATGCTTTTTTTTTAAGAGCAGTGGATATTATTGGGGCTACTCTAAAACTCAACCAGTGGTAGTTTGTTAAAAGTTAGTTACAAAGTGGAATATGAAGCCATATTGACACACATTTCAGACTCATTGCATTTAAACTCATCGATCTATCTTGCACCACAGATGGATCTTATTTTTCACCTCATGGACCCTGGAGAGAGTCTTGAATTTCTCAAGAGATTCCTGGGCCACTGTCTGAGAACCACTGTGCTAGTCATTGCTTTTGCAAAACAAAACACAGCATGAAATAAACCCTATTATCCTCAGTTTGCAGATATGAATTCCACTCTAGTAGAGTGGATATTTCCTGGCCTCTATAATCCACCTGGCCTAGGTTTGCAACCCAACTTCACTATTTACCATCTGTCTAATTAAAATATTCTGGGAGGGCACGGTGGCTCACGCCTGTGATCCCAGCACTTTGGGAGGCCGAGGCAGGCAGATCACAAGGTCAGGAGACTGAGACCACGGTGAAACCCCGTCTCTACTAAAAATACAAAAAAATTAGCCGGGCGTGGTGGCGGGCACCTGTAGTCCCAGCTGCTCGGGAGGTGGAGGCAGGAGAATGGCGTGAACCCGGGAGGTGGAGCTTGCAGTGAGCCGAGATCGCGCCACTGCACTCCAGCCTGGGCAACAGAGCGAGACTCCATCTCCAAAAAAAAAATAAATAAATAAATTCTACACACTTGTCAGTATACAACAGTTATGCAAATATGCAAATCTGTACTATTTTATTTTCAAGAGACCATAGCAAAATTAACTGCCTTCAGTTTCCAAATTGTAGGTTATTCTTTTTGGATGGAGTCCTGTCTTCAATGACCATTAGTCTAACATAATTGTTAGAATTAAGTAATCTTGGAGTCAAATGTTATCTGTTCAAATTTATGTCATTTTCTGTCTGTGCAACCATAGCATGCTACTTACCTCTCTGTGCTTCAGTGTCCTCATGAACTAGATAAAGTTGTGAGAATTAAATGGGGGTAATATATGCAAAGTGCTTAGAACAGTGTCTGACATTTTATAAGAGCTAGATTAGTTTATGGTATTTTTAACCATTATTGTCATTATCATTACTATCTATCCTACTGTTCTTGCCCACTCTTGCTTCTCGGGAGCAAGTCAGACACTGTCCTGTCCTGGATCCCAACTTCAGAGCTCTTATTTCAAACTTTCCAACTCATCCTGTGGAAACTTTCCTCACTATGTTTAAAGAGGAGGAGGGACCCCCCCCCCCACCCCAATTCAGCAATGCTTTCTCCTTATGGGCATAAAGACTCACCATTACTCCTTTCAAAGAAGTCTTCACAAACCTCCTCTTTTCCAAAATCTGACCATCTTTGATATCTTTGATGTAGTCAAAAGTTGTGACATTAATTTTTGTTATTGTTTCTTCATAAAATCTGTCTATGGGGAGATGTCTCTCACTCACATTGGTATCTGCAATCTATCTGACCTACACCATGGGTGCACCAGAATGGGAAGTGTTTCATCCTTAATGTTTCATTACACAAGCAATAACAGTTCAGGAGGAAGTGCTTATGTACAGCAAGTGGTACAGACTCTTCACAAACATACTCTCCTGCAATCTTCATAGTGATTTTGTGAAGAAGGTACTATATTTTACAGAGTTGGGGTCAGGGGGACCAAGTCTCAGGGAGATTAACTTGCCACAGATCTTACCAAGTATCAAAATGTGACAATGTCCTTAGCTAAGTTTACTTAGTTTTATGTATTAAATTTCTTTTCCCTTATTTTCTTCACTTTTACTTTTAGTTTAAAGGTCTGATATATATGAGAGATTGTTCATAAAACAATGATCCCTGCTTCCCTTTCTTTTCCACTAAGGCTATCACTTTTACTTCTTTTGGATGATTGTTTTAGCATTTATCTTCTTCATATTACATATTTCTATTGCTTCCTCTTGATTACCAGTTTTAATAATGGTTTCTTAAATTCCCACCACAAATGATCAAGATTTTTGTCTCTTTTCTTTCCCTTCCCCTTCCAATTGTCGTCAATAGAATTGAGTTATAACTTTGGTATAGGTAAGTGCTAAGCATTTGCATTACTAACATTATGAAAATGCTATTCACAGCTATGATTATTTTTCCTTTTATGTACTACTTTTTGTTTTCCCTGAAGTTAATAATTACTATATTTTTTGTTTCTTTAGTTTTGTGCATACTTACCAATATTTCAGTCCCAAAGTGTTTGCCACTTATCTAAATGTTCTCATAAGACATTCTATATGTATGTGTAAATAAAGGAGTAGTTTCCTTTTCATTAATTTTAGCACTCTATTTGCCATCTATTTGGATTTTCAGAGATACTTTATGTTATTCAAATTCCTGAGTACAGACAAAAGAAATGGTCAAATATATTAGAGAAATTCTTAGTAAAGTTACCATATATATGAAGTAATATGGACCATAGTGTTTCTCATCACATATTGACTGCAATTAAGTTTAAGTTAATTGACAATACTTTAGCAATTATAATAAGATAAATTATAATGTGTTTGGGGTAAAACTGATACATTTTATTAAAATAATCATTTAGTATGATTTTAATAAATAATTTATTAAAATATCATTTATTATGAATCATACTTCTTGATATTCAATAAAATTTACAAATCCTTTTTAAATGATATCCAATCAGTTTGCAAACTCACACATTTTGAAAAACTGTATGTCCAAGTACAGTACATAAAAGGCATTTATTGATGAATACACTTAAAAATATACATATGAACACACTAAAATTAAACTCTCAGCTTTTAGACTACTTAGAGAATGGCTTTTATTGGATAGCTAAGTTTTCCAAATGGCTGATGATTATTGCCTGTAAGCTCAGAAATCAGCCTTACTTAGGCTCTCTCAATATCCGTTACATTAAATCATGCCTTTCTTAAAAGGTCATACCCTTTTTTAAAAACACCTAATGAATTGCAATTAATATCCCGGGGATATTTGTGGGATAAAGCGATAAGTAAATGGCATATGCATTATACTAAATTATTGCATTTATTCTAGATCTCTCTGCTATTGGAGTTGTGTCTTTTTCCTAATTAGATTTTCTTTCAGGGTACCAAAGATCATTATAATTCAGTATTTATACCCCTATCAATTCTTCTTTTTTATAATTTATTTCTTCTCTTCAATTACAGGCTTTATACCATCTTATCAAAATTATTTGATCAGGGAAAAAACAAATATTTCAGATATGATGCAGTCTTATATGAATAAAGTTCACCAAGTTTAGTGCATGGATTTGTAATACTTATTGGACTGCCCAGAATATATTTTACTTAATTTCTTGATATGGCTATATCTATGCACAGTTAAGTTATGGCACTTATAGTTGCCATATAAGTGATGTGTTAGCAACTGCTAGTTCTAATAATCCCCTGTATATCCTCTCCTGTAATAAAGGAACTTTCATTTTGAGCTGAGGTCACGGTGGCCAGGAAGTTGCAGCAAATTGACTAAGTTCTGGGCAATGAGTTGGAGGAAAAGTGTGCCATTTTCAGGCCATAGTCTTAAAGGAAGAAGTGTAGTTTTTCTGCTCCTCTCTAAAACCTGTTGCTTGGATCTCAGACATTCTTGGATAGGAAGAGAATGAGAGCCACACCCTAGGGATGATGGAGCAGAAAGCTGGCAACGGAGTCACTGAACTGAAGACAAAATAAACGACTCCTTTTGTGTAACCCCCTGTTATTTGGAGGTCTATGTTATGTTTCTGCTAATTGATACTAATTACTACAAGAAAATAGCTAATTGTGTGAAAACAGCATCTCCTTTGCTCAAGTTACTGGCCAGTTCATTTGTTCTGGGAGCTCCTGGGTTGAGCTAAAATCCCTAGTATATTAATCCCACCTGAAAATTCTGGGGCTTGAAGCATTAGTGTTTTCTGAAGATAGTTGGTTGTCTCTAGGTTATTAATTTGTAAGACATTATAAATGTAGCAAGTAGTATCTGAATAGATTGTTGATTACAGCAGGGCCATTTTTCTCAGTCTTCTAAGGTTTACACTCCACCTGAAAGACTATACTATATCTCTTAAATTCTCGTTGTTTTGACCTGTTGAAGAATTTGAAGGAATGATGAAATTGCCTGCTTTCTATACTGAAGGCTAACTCTTGGTCTGCAAATTTATTTGTATCTCTGGTTCTAGCTTCCTCTTGTCCAGACATATATTCAAAAATATAATAAAATAAATACCAACAGAAACCTGAGTCTTGTTTCACCCCCAGTTTATGAGGAGTTTCAAAACATATTTTGCTCATCCTCAGACCCTCTCCTATCCCCCATTAATATTTTGGATATAATATACATTTTTTTTCTGTGATTTTGATAATGAAAAGTCCAGTTCTGATAAAAATTTAATCCCAATTGATTAAAATTACATTTTCTCTTTTTTCCCAAGCACAAACTTATCCAAGGCTGAGGGATCTGAAGTTATAAGGGAAGGGAAGGATCTGTCTTTCTTGCCTCACCTCTCTCTTCAGGGTTACCTTCTCTGCAAGGTGAAGAAGAAATCCTGATTCTCTCATGGGGTACATAGGTGCATGCTTTGAAGGGTCCTGTGGGATCTTCCTGCTCAGTTACCTAGTGTGAAAGTTCAAGATCATACTAAAACATTAGCCCTCAGCCATCTTCAGCCCTCATCATGGGTGGAACACTCCATGCTGTAACTGCAGGGGTCCCTTTATCTGGTGGACAGCTCTTTTGGGTGGACTATCAGCAGAATGATTCAAGTTCTCCATTCTCAAAATTCTCATGGCCATGGAAACTCATTCATTTTCCTGTACTGAATGCTGGGTATGTGTGTGGTTTAGTCCTGCACCTTCTGTCTACCTTCCTGCTGTCTCTCTGCAATTCCCTTTTTGCTCAGAGACCTAAGCCAAATCAGTAAAACTATTACCCAAGCAGATATCCAATGAAGCAACAGAACAATAGCCTTCTTCCTCCTTTCCACCATGGCCAGGAGAAGAAATTGCGTCTTACCAGTAACAAAATTTTCACAAGACATATGATTCTTACACTACCTCTGTTTTTCACCCATATATTTGCTAGACAGAGATCAGAGTGGTTCTGTAATCTCTTGAGACTCAGAGAACAATGAGGGAGGGATCTGATCCCAATTATGGGTGCCTCACTTCAGAAGGTGGGTTACTTAAAACTTCTTTGTGTCAGAATTTGGCACTAAGTCCCACTCAGCAAGTCACATGGTTTGGCTCTGTGTCCCCACCCAAATCTCATGTCAAACTGTAATCCCCACATGTCTAGGGAGGGACCTGGTAGGAGGTGACTGGATCATGGGGCCAGTTTCTCCCCTCCTGTTCTCATGATAGTGAGTGAGTTCTCAATGAGATATGATGGTTCAAAAGTGTGTGGCAATTCCCCCCTTGCTCCCTTTCTTTCTCCTGCTGCCATGTAAGACATGCCTTGCTTCCCCTTCACCTTCTGCCATGATTGCTAGTTTCCTGAGGCCTCTCCAGCCATGCAGAACTTAGCACTTTTTCTTTATAAATTACCCAGTCTCAGTTAGTGCTTTATAGCAGTGTGAAAATGGATTAATACAGAAAAGTGGTACCACGAGAGTGGGTCACTGCTATAAAGATACCTCAAAATGTGGAAGCGACTTTGGAACTGGATAACAGGAAGAGTTTGGAACAGTTTGGAGGGCTCAGAAGAAGAAAGGAAGATGAGTGAAAGTTTGGAATTTCCTAGAGACTTGTTGAATGGTTTTGACCAAAATGCTAATAATGGTATGGACAATGAAGTCCAGACTGAGATAGTCTCAGATGGAGATTAGGAATTTATTGGGAACTGGAGCAAAGGTCACTCTTGCTTTGCTTTAGCAAAAAGATTGGCAGCGTTGTCTCTGCTCTAGGGATCTGTGGAACTTTGAACTTACAGGAGATGATTTAGAGTATCGGGCAGGAGAAACTTCCAAGTAAAAAAGCATTCAAGATGTAATATGGCTGCTCCTAATAGTATATAGTCTTATGCATTCACAAAGAGATGGTCTGAAATTGGAACTTATGTTCAAAAGCAGAGTATAAAAGTTTGAAAAATTTGCAGACTGACCATGTGGTAGAAAAGAAAAACCTATTTTATGGGGAGAAATTCAAGCCAGCTGGAGAAATTTGCATAAGTAAAGAGGAGCCAAATGTTAAGACAATGGGAAAAATGTCTCCAGGGCATTTCAGAGCTCTTCATGGCAGCTCTTCCCATCACAGACCTGGAGGCCTAGGAAGGAAAAATGGTTTTGTAGGCTAGTCCCAGGGTGCTGCTTCTCTGTGCAGTCTCAGGACATGGCACCCTGCATCCTAGCTGCTCCAGCTTCAGCCATGGCTAAAAGGGGGAAGGTACAGCTCAGGCTGTGGCTTCAGGGGGTTCCAGCCCCATGCCTTGGTGGCTTCCATGTGGTGTTGAGCCTGCTGGTGCACAGAAGGCAAGAGTTTAGGAAACTTCACTTAGATTTCAGAGGATGTATGGAAACACCTGGATATCCAGGCAGATGTCTGCTTCAGGAGTGGAGCCCTCATGGAGAACCTCTACTAGGGCAATGTAGAGAGGAAATGTGGGGTTGGAGCCCCCACACAGAGTCCCACTGTGGCACTGCATAGTGGAGCTATACAAAGAAGCCACCATTCTCCAGACCCCAGAATGGTAGGTCCACAGACAGTTTGTACTGTGCTCCTGGAAAAGCCACAGACACTCAACACAGCCCATGAAAGCAGCCGGGAGGGAGGCTGTAGCCTGCAAAGCCACAGGGGTGGAGCTGCCCAAGGCTTTGGGAGGCCAATCTTTGTATCCGCATGTCCTGTATGTGAGACATGACGTCAAAGGAGATTATTTTGGAGCTTTAAGATTTAATGACTGTCCTGCTGGGTTTCAGACTTGCAAGGGGCCTGTAGACCATTGCTTTTGGCCAATTTCTCCCTTTTGCAATGGCAGCATTTACCCAGCGCCTGTACTCCCACTGTTTCTTGGAAGTAACTAACTTGCTTTTGATTTTACAGGCTCATAGGCCAAAAGGACTTGCCTTGTCTCAGATGAGACTTTGGACTTTTGGGTTAATGCTAGGATGAGTTAAGACTATAAGGGACTGTTGGGAAGGCATGATTGTGTTTTGAAATGTGAGAAGGACATGAGATTTGAGAGGTACTAGGGGTAAAATGATATGATTTGGCTCTGTGTCCCCACCCAAATCTCATGTTTAATTATAATCCCCATATGTCAGGGAAGGGACATGGTAGGAAGTGACTGGATCATGGGGGAGGTTTCCCCTATGCAGTTCTGGTGAGAGTGAGTTAGTTCTATGAGATCTAATGGTTTAAAAGTGTGTGTCATCCCCCACTTGCTCTGTCTCTCCTGGTACCACGTAAGGTGTGTCTTTCTTCCCATTCACCTTCCGCCATGATTGTAAGTTTCTGAGGCCTCCCCAGCCATGTAAAAGTGTGAGTCAATTAAACCTCTTTTCTTTATACATTACCCAATCCCAATCTTCTTTATAGCAATGTGAAAATAAAGTAATGTAACATGTTGTTATCTTTAGGAAGATTTTTGTGCTAGGAACCACAAACCATTTTATATATAACACTATAATTTTTTAACCAAATCCACAAAACTGGTTTAAGCAACTATACAGTAGTTTCACAACATACATTTAAAGCAAACATTTATTTTTCTTTGCTCCCAAAATACCTATTTTGAAGGGAGCATAAAATAATGCTATTTATAGATTTTATTTTGGGAAAAAATCTAGTTTTAGGAATTGTCATAACCTTGATAACTATTATTATCTTTCTCTGAGATGCTTTGAATAAATATTATGATACACATTTGTGCAATATTTCTGTGTAGACATATGCCAGATGTGTGATGACAAGCTGCCTTGTAATACAATAATACAAACTCCTGGAAGTGTTGGAACCAAAAAGTATTTAACATGCTGAATATGATTCTGGAAATAGGACTTCCAGATAATGATGTGTGTGTGTGTGTGTGTGTGTGTGTGTGAGTGTGTGTGTTTAAACTTAATCTTAGCATCCTATCCAGCTTTAAAATTCTGTGCTTTTGTTTTGTTGATGCTCCCTCAAAGCAAAATGAATACTTTCCAGGAGATGCCAATGAAATTAATGAGTTTAACCTCAAAGATTTTATCCTTCTCAGCAGTCAACTGGAAGCTAAAGTACATTAGAGAGAAATTAATTACAAGATGCTTGCATTTCAATTATTCTGCATTTATCACTGCAATTATTCCATGCATCTATCACTTTCTAAATATAGGAAACTAAAACCAAAGACTCCCAAGTTTTTAATCCCTTCAGAAATGTAAATAGCCTCTGGTTGATATAGAAACTTTTTAATGTATTTACAATTTTAACTATGACTAAAGCCATAGTTAAAATTATTTATAGAGATTTTCTAAAATAAGAAATTCAAGGAATATCTTTAGTTGTTTTGAGTAAGCCAAATGTATGGTTCAAATTTAGAGTGATAATTATATCTACAGAAGCTTAAATTTTCTGGACAGAAAAACCTAGGAGAGAAATCATGCAAGAACATCAAAGATGAGTTCAAGCATTTATGATGCAAATAATGCTGACAAATTTTAGCAAGCAACATTTGTAGAGCCAAATTAGTTAATTCAAATCATAAATACAATATAAGAGCAAATGTCTATTCCTAAGATAAAATGAGAAAAAGTCTATGTTTCCAATTTATTTGTAGTTATGGACTCTCACATATGAAAAATTAAAAGTGTTATTTTAAATTCCAGTTTTATGTGAGGCCTGCATACATACATAACTTTGAATAAAAGGCAACATTCTTTTATTTGCAGGGGAGGGGGGCGGGTGGCGGGGAGACAGAGTCTCACTCGCTCACTCGGTCACCCAGGCTGGAGTGCAGTGGCACAATCTTGGCTTGCTGCAATCTCCACCTCCCAGGTTCAAGTGATTCTCTTGCCTCAGCCTCTCCAGTAGCTGGGATTATAGGCACAGGCCACCATGCCTGGCTAATTTTTGTATTTTTAGTAGAGACGGGATTTCACCATGTTGGCTAGACTTGTCTCGAACTCTTGATCTCAAGTAGTCCGCCTGCCTTGGCCTCCCCAAGTGCTGGGATTACAGGTGTGAGCCACTGTGCCCAGCCGAAAGGCAACATTCTTATAATGTGGAAGCCAAACTTATCTTTCCTAATATAGTTAGCCACATGATTTTTACTGAATATCCTATATCAGAAACCAGTAGCATTATTTCGCATGAAGACTGGCTGTTAGATATACTGCTACATGGATATTATAGATGAGTAATAGGGCAATGACTCTGAAAAAATTCTTAGAACTCATCTGGTTGAGAAGTCACCAACTGGTGGCTCAGGAGCCGCATTAAATCACAGTTGTACTTGGACTATTTAGTATTTTAATCATTTGGAAATTTTACATAGAATTCTTTATTATCAGCATGTCTTGAAAAATCAAGAGGAGCTTGGAAATACATTGGTCTTATCTAGCCATTAGTTGTTTTTTCATCAAGTTTCCACAGCTCCTATTATCCTTTTTATCTCAGACCGTTTGCTAAATTTATTTACTACCCTCATAGCATCCAAAGACATTTGAGCTTTTGACCCTTGAGTTAATCCATCTTTCACAGGTGAAAACATTGAGTCATTATTGATCCCCCGAGTTATCCGACAATGAAGTGTAGTGGTTAAAGTGTTGTCTCTGGAGTCAGTCTGCATGGGTTCAAATCCCAGCTTAGCCACTTGCCCACTCTGTGATTCAGAGCAAGTTATTGAACATTTCTGAGATTTAGTTTCCTCATGTTTAATATGAGGAGAGAAATAATACCTGCCTCGTTGGGTTTCATGAGGCTAGACCAGTAAATATCTGTGATGTGTTTAGAAGAATGCCTGGCAAATTTTACACTCAGTCTGATTGCTATGTTATTAAACCACTCTTTAGAAGGTGAGATGCAGAGTAGCCTGCTCAAAGGATAGGTCCTTCTGTGGCTTGACACTAATCTAGCTTCTGCTTATAGAGCCCTATTCATTTAATTCTTCATTTCTTTCTAAGTGTTTGAGTGAAAGTCCCTGCAACTTCGGCTTTTGTAAACTTACCCTTCTCTTGGACAACATGGTCTTGAATATGAGGAATGTACTAAGGCGGATGGAAAAGTCAGTCCCAGCATATAAAAGATCAGAGACAGAAATGATAAAAAAAGAATTGTTTTATTCTTATGAACAACTTTACTTCTTTAAGAACTTGTGCAGATAGAAAAAGCATTTAAGATTTCCATCCTCAGTTGTCTATTACAAGGAGGATGAAGAATTTATTTTTTTCCATTTATATTTGAAAAATGCTTAATTAACATTAACATTTTGAGAAGCTAGAAACAGATGACTGAGGGGAAATAGGGGTAAAGTGTGAAGACTTGCATTAATTCCCTTTCAAAATATTATTTAACTTAGGCAAATTTAATGGTCTCGTTTAGAATTGTGCTGATTGCATGGGGGAATAAAGATTCCCTTTTTCTGATTGTTCATATAATCAATTTTGTACTCATTAAAAAAACTCCTTGTGAATATAAACAAGCATTTATAGCATGTTTTTCTTGTTGATAAGCTTATTTGCCACAAAGTTTAACATGTGTGTTCCCAAATGTCCTTTTTCCATAATTTGTATTTTAAGTTGACTTGACTCCCTGCACCAACTAGGAAGCTCTCTTTCTCTAAAAACATTCTTCCATTTGAAGTTTTTAATAAAGGATTAAGAGAGTTATTCACTTGCATTAGTCTATTTTCTGACAAAAAGGGCTTTAAAGTCATACATAAAAAGAAATATTGAGCATATGTCTTAATCATTAATGACATTAATGAGGGTAATAATTTATTATCCTCTAATCAAATTAAATGTTTTATCTCCCTAAAATCTACCTAAAGGCGAGAAAGAACATTTTTGTGGAATGAATAATATTTCATTGGAGTTAAGTCTATTCTTTCTTTGATTAGGTTTATTTCTTCATAAGGTCATCTTTGATACTTAAACTTTTGCTAAAATTTTGTGTAACAAATATTTTTTCATTGATATGACTGTCTTACGGTTTTTGTGATTAAGTTATAAATTAATTTTCTCTTGCTGTAACTTTCAAATAAATAAAGTGTGTAAACAGACATGTAAGACTTTGAGATTTGGAGAGCAGTTGGAAGGATGGAAAGTGTACCATAATTCCAAATATTGTACAGGCAATGTTTACAGTATTTGCAACAGCTAATTACTCCTGTCAGGTTGTAGAAAATGATAATTTTTTTGAAGACAAGTCTTTGCCAGCCTTAGTTAGCATTTGTTTGCCTGCAGAAATACTGTGTAGTGACTTGGCTACCTGTTGTATTTATTTTACATAATGCAATAGCTAAGTTTTTATTAAGAAGAAAAATAGAAAATATGGGGAAAGTGAAGATAAAAATTGTCAAAAAAGGTATTATTTGATGAGGAAAAAACAACTAAAAGTGATTTTTAAAAAGGAAACGTATAAGAAGAAAAACCAGAAATTGAACAATTTGTTGAAGAGCTGGTAGTAATTTTTAAAATGTTTCATCTTTCTTCAATTCCCTTAAGTAATAGTGTTATTAAATTCTCCAGATGAGAGTTTGCCAGGATTTAATGTTTGTATGCAGTATACACCAAAATGATTGGCCCTTGTGAATGGGTTTATTAGTTCTGTGATTTCTTTTATCTCATTTGAATTCAGTATATAATTACTGAAATAACACATCCACAAAAACTGTAGTACAAGCTTGTTTTACGGTTTATGTGGCTATCTTTGCCTTTAAATGTAACCCTAAATAAGACTTCAAATAAACTGCCTAGTGCTTAGCTGCTCTGAACAGGAAAGACATAGTAGTTCTGGGTTCTGTGTCAGTGGCCCATTTGGAGACACCTGGAAAATATCTAGTTAAAATTTTAATGTATTTTTTTGTTGCTGATCAAGCTCAAACACTCTAGGACCATTTTACAAAATAACAACAAAATGCCAGATAAAGTGGAGAGGAGAGAAATGTATTGAATATTTGGCTGTTTAGATTCATTAATGTAGAGTGGCTACATTCTTCTCCAAGTTCCACAAACCCAAAAACCACACACGTTCCTCTCTGTAACTTAGCAATTGGAACATGTGATGGTTTTAGGAAAACAGCATTGCTGAAACCCAAAACTGAGATAGCCATTTATGAATTAAGAGTTTGCAATTACTAAAATTGTAACAAATCCTTCAAGATGTCTTAAAATAGGTGGTATTAATATGTAATATGATAAACATGCTAGCATTGTATAATTCCAAGCCAGTCTCAGCAAAAGCAATGGATGACACTCATTTCTAAATAGCAGGTGAACATACTCTGGTTTTAGGTTTGGCTACTTCCTGTGAGATTGCAGTTTGGATTACGGCCATATTTCATGTATTTTTCTCCCTGAAAGCTAATGAAAGTCCCCTGGATGTAATGCCATTAATCCCTGGGGAAGAAATAACTGGGGCAAAATTTAATATAACAGATGTGATTTCTATAAGTGCTAGTGATAAGATAGGAGGCAGTGCATTAGCAAAAAGGACTAGATAAGGAAAATTAAAAATGGTGAGTAAAGATTCTGCTTATCCTGAGGGAAATTTCATGATTAACCAATGCCTTCAATTGTTATTTTCAATGATATAAAGTAATAATATGTAACATTCAACCTTAAATTATTGACTATGAATTCCAACAATGAAAAGTGTACGATATCATTACAAGATGATCTAAGTTTCTTCTCCAGTATTGACAATATATTCATTCTTGGGGTGAGGGATTAAGAAGGAAAGTAAAATTATGATAACTTCATTTTACTAGGAGTTTGTATTAAATATTTAAAATGCTTATATTACATATCCCTAAAGGTAATTCTGTATGCCTGGATGAACATTTTATTTTATAAAAAAATTAGCATATATTCTTTCTTCTCTCCAGATTAGTTAACATAACTCAGAAAATCCTAAATATTAAATGAAAGCTCTAAATTTATATTAGTTGTTAAATAGTATAATTATAATGATTGAACACTGAAGATCTCTGGATGCTAATATTCCACACATTACAGTATGTGCCAACTCTAAAATTTGACTTTTAGACTTTTAGGAATTTTTATGATATATATTTTTCACACCGTATGACACTGTTGATAGTATTAGGATTTTCTAAAATGATGGGATAATTTTACCTATGATAAATGCTACCATTTATAAATGTGATTTCGGTATGCATGAAATGCACGATTTTGCATATTACTGCTGTAACTATTATCTTAAAATATGACCTTCTGGGAAATAACATGTTATGACCTTATAATTTATTATTACATTCACAGGTAACTCCTCAAGTATCTAGGCTTGACTGTTATAATTATACATTCTTCATAACTATGAATTTTGAATTATGGGTTAAGAATTATGAATTATAGACTCAAACACACTTTAAAACATTCTTTTATCAAAGGGCATTTAGTGTGGCTGACACTCTGGCCTTTTAGAAGTTAATAATAAATAAAATTGTCATTGTTTCCTGAATTAGCTTTAAGTGAATCCATGTGTTAAGCTTCAAATTTGGTAAAATGCTATTTTACTAAATAGCATTTTTGAAAATCTTATTTATATAGCTTAAAGAAAAACCATATGACTTTAAGAAAACTAAGACCAATGTTAATATTTTAGTAGCTTAAACATATAGTGCTGGATACTGTCAGAATTCCATACATGGAATTCAAGTAAAGCCACTACTAATTAATTTTAAACACTGATGACTGTGTATCAAACTCTTCGCTATTTTCATGGAATTTGCAACTAGATTGTTCAGTTAAGCAGTCTATATATGAATATCTTTATAATTTTAAAATCATGATTCACAGAGTAAAATTTTGGGTATTTGGCTCTTCAAAAACCTGAATTTAAAGAGTGCTCTAGTAGTAGGGCAAATGCTCTGGGTGCAGATAGCTGTGCCTCACTGATATCCCCTCAATGCCTTAATGACAATCCACCACAAGCATCAGTTTGGGTAAAAATGAAGCATTTACTTTCTTTCTTTCTTTCCTCCTTCCTTCCTTCCTTCCTTTCTTTCCTTCTTTCTTTCTTCTTTCATTTCTTTCTCCTTCCTTCCTTCCTTCCTTTCTTTCCTTCTTTCTTTCTTCTTTCATTTCTTTCTCCTTCCTTCCTTCCTTCCTTCCTTCCTTCCTTCCTTCCTTCCTTCCTTCCCCCGGCCCCTCTCCTTCCCCCTTCCTCTCCCCCTCCCTCTGCCCTCCCCTCCCCTCCCCTCCCTTCCCCTCCCCTCCCCTTACCTTTCCTTTCCCGAAACAAAATTATGAATAGAATGTTGGGTCTTAACTTCCTTTCATATAAATACTTGCCTAAATCAGCTGATATATTTGGTAAGGTTAAAAGGGAAGCATGAAAGTGAGCCATTGCAGATAGAAACAGATGTTTTCCCCTAGCTAATTACTAATAATGTGATCTTAAGATCACATCTAGCAACAAATGCACATGCCTAGTTAAAACTATAAGAAATAGTTTAAATTTTAGTACTGGACTTTTCTTATTCCTGATGTATGACTATTATTTACTGAGATTTTATTTTGTTTCATTATGCTGACACAGTATTACTAGGATAACGGCATTATTATTGCCATTTTAAGGATAAGGAAATGAGAACGGTAACCAGGCCTTGTAGATCCCAAAGTATTACAGTATTTTAAATATCAACTATATTTACAATATTTTAATCACATAAAAAAAATAAAAACAAATGACCTTACTTCAAGTAAATAATTTTGGTGTTAAGAAGTGACACCTTTTCCTGAGAATGTATTATTAGAGAGGAATTTTAATTTTTTAAAAAACTTACATAGAATGAGAAGGAGAAAGCCTATTAATGTATACCATATTTCCCCCATATGATTATAAGTGCTGTTGTCATCCATATACTGTATGTTTAAGATTAATTGTTAGTGTTTTCAATTTAATGCTAAAGCATAAACTAGAATGAATCTTAGTGGGAGTTACTTGGAATATAAATATTAATTTTTATTATAAAACATTTATATTCATATATAATTCGGCTACTCTTAATTTTAAATATAAATAATTTAAATACTTATTCAATCAATAAATATGTATTAAGGATACCAATCAGACAGACACAGTCTCAGCTCTTAAGGAACGTCCTGTCTAGTTATTACTATACACATATACAAGATGACTTACAGGTAAAAAGATGTCAGACAGAAATGTGAACTGCTGCCTTGTGAAGGACTCCCTACGGGAGCTGTGTCTTGGTGGGATAGATGGAGCCTTCTTTCTAAGTATTGAAACTGAAGCGTATTAGTCAACAAAGAGATGATCAGGCTGTGATTAATAGACTCATTTAAACTAAACTCATAAGACCAAAGCACAGAAGTGAAAGCAGTATTTTGTTGATTTCTGAAAGGTGACACTAGTCCACGCTTTCATAGAAAGTGCCTGGGACTTGAAATTATTACTAGAAGATTTTGCTAAATATATAGTCGCAGCAAAAAGGATTGCTAGATTGTGTGAATGGATGGATAGTTTACTTTTCTTATAGGAAATCAGCTCTAGTCTATTCCTAGAATGGCTTTTTTGACCAAAATATTTTGTTTTCCATATATTGTTAGTCTTTATGGTCAATGATGAATAAACAGTGCTAAATACTTTCTTTTTATGGATGTACCAAAAGCAACATTTCAATTCATTAAGTAAACAGTTACATTTATGTATTGTCTTTCTCTGGTTACATCCTAGTCAACTTGATTAGAACTGGGTATTTATCTTCTGCAAAATATTTACAAACTGTTATGTATTTTTAGCATATGGCCATGTTTTCTTTTTATTGATGGTTTTAACTAGTTTACAGGTATGGCTCTTACTGATTTTTTTCAAAATTATAAATATTTTGTACACACCCATAATGCATTGAAAAAACTAGGGCTCAAGTGGCTATATGTTAATTTTAAATGTTTAATCAGCAAATAAATACTTCAAACATTTTATTTTGAAACACATCTTATAAATCATCTTTTTAAGTTTTATTACTAGTATTAGTATTATTTTGATCCACATATCTCTTGACTTTTTTCTTTTAAGTCCTTGATAAAATATTCATTAATTACTTAATGGGTAGCCTTTATAGTTCCCTTCAGAAAATATTCAGCAAGATAAATTTATGTGTAAATTAATGGGTAAAATTATATGATTGGATTCTTTATAAATAATCTACGTACTTTTTTTTTGTTTCTAGACATTATTAGTCTATACCCAACTTTAACCTTTAGGTGGCAGCATTTGAGAACAGTTATAGATACTTGCCACCATTTAGAAAAACAAGATGAATAGTGTATATGTTCAAAATAAAGAATTTAGGATTTTTTTTTTATTTAGACTCAGAACAATCGCTTATCAAGCACTGCACTATCTCATAATTTGTAACATTAAGAAGTATTTTCATATTCACATAAGGCTACTTTAGGTTTATAAAAAGTCCATCATTTGCATGGCCATTTGTTCACAGTTATACTTTCATTGAAGGCAGGGGTTCTTCCAAATGGATATTCCTAAAGGACCTTTGTTCTCAGCACATCTCCAATTTTAATGGATCTGGGCTAATTAGACATATCTGAAAATCTTTTCTAAAGTATTGAAAACAAAGACATTATCTTTCTTCTTGCAATTTATTGGTTTAAAAATACTTTACATTTATGTATAGTGAGAGATGAAAGGGCAAGTACAATATAAAACCAATTTATATCAAGGACTTTTTTTAATAGTCCATCTTAGTTGCTAACTAGAATAATCATCACAAAAGATACATTTTGCTGAATAACTGACCGATTAGTCTGATCTATCACTCCTATCTTGTTTTCTTTTTTTAAAAAATGAGGTCAACCAATTTTGCTTCACTAGCCAAGTACCTAATCAAGATCAGGCCATATATGAATAACTTCATTAAGATATATAATCAAGGCTAGAATCTATTATGTTTAATGGAATATGAGTGCTTAACTTTTACAGAGACTCATGTCAGCTTTTCTACAACTATAATTCCTGTTGCTGTATGATTAACTTTTTCATTATATTAAACTTAAAATTACTTTCTTTTATTTTTCTCTATTTGGATTTTAATATAGTTAAATAAATCTTTTAGGATAACTTTTTAAAATACTTCTTTTTCTTTTTATTGAAAAATGTTCCAATATTTTTATCCTGATTTCAGTTCAGAGGATTTTATTTTGTGTTTACTTCATTATTATAAGAAAGACATAAAATTTCAAATAACTTATTTAAAACCATGTTTATATATAGCTGATCCTAAAGACTAATGTGTATTTGTTCATTTTGGCCCTATAAAATATTAAATAGTTTTGCTAAGGAAAGTATTTGCAGTGATTTTTACTGATGGCAAAATTGTAAAAAAAAAAATTAATACCTAGTTATCATTTAAATAATTTATATTTTAGACAGGATCCAAAGTATACAACATGCTTTGTGTTTTAGACATTTGTGTTTGTGCTATTTACATTAAGAAAACTTGATCAGTATCTATAAACATCCTTTCCCTATAGAGAAATGGATAATCTGTTAATTTGTGTTGTAAAAGTCATGTAGTTCCATGAAGACAGTATCCAAAAGTATGGGTACTCTGTGACCATTTCAGTTTTTGTCACATTTTTCTATTTGCCTGAATCCCTCAAAATGGCATGTATGTCCATTTTCACACTACTGATAAAAACATACCTGAGACTGGGCAATTTACAAAAGAAAGAGGTTTAACTGGACTTACAGTTCCATGTGGCTGGGGAAGCCTCACAATCATGATGGAAGGCAAAGAGGAGCAAGTCATGCCTTACATGGATGGCAGCAGGCAAAGAGAGAGCTTGTGCAAGGAAACTCTCATTTTTAAAACCATCATATCTCGTGAGACTTACTCACTATCAGGAGAACAGCACAGGAAAGACCTGTGCCCATGATTCAAGCATCTCCCACCGGCTCTCTTTCACAGTGCATGGGAATTATGGAAGCTACAAGATGAGATTTGGGTGGGGACACAGAGCCAAACCATATCATGGCATAAGCAAGATAAATGATTTATTGACCAATTAACTGAAATTTTTAGAGGCTTGAATGTCTGGAAATAGGTGCTCCAATAATGTCAGAAGTCTGATTCTCCATTTCTCTTTTCTGCTTTACTTTTTGTCGCTTTTTTTTTTTTTTTTTTTTTTTGACAGAGTCTCGCTCTATCCCCCAGGCTGGAGTGCAGTGGCAGGATCTCGGCTCACTGCAAGCTCCGCCTCCCAGGTTCACACCATTCTGCTGCGTCAGCCTCCCCAGTAGCTGGGACTGCAGGTGCCCACCACCACGCCTGGCTAATTTTTTGTATATTTTTTTGTATTTTTAGTAGAGACGGGGTTTCACCGTGTTAGCCAGGATGGTTTCGATCTCCTGACCTCGTGATCCGCCCACCTCGGCCTCCCAAAGTGCTGGGATTACAGGCGTGAGCCACCGCGCCTGGCCTACTTTTTGTTGCTTTTTATTCTCAGTAAATGTTTTCCCCCAACTGGTAGCAAAAAAGGTTTCCACCACTCCTGACCAGCATGCCTGATAGAAAAAAAGCATGTGTGTGTGCATCTTTCTAGTGGTCTTGGGGAAAGTTTCAGGGAGAACTTTCTTTGTTGCAACATGAGTCACACCCCCATACCTGAGCTTATCATTTTAGGAAGTGCACTCTGGTCTGTGATTTTTCAGATCAAATTGCTTAGATCCCAGTTCCAACCAAGGAGGGCAGAGTTACTATAAGCCTCATGCCTTGACAGACATTTTAGCTGATGCCTCATCCAAGTCATTTGGCAGCATCAGTTGATCTTTATGTTCAAAAAGATTCTGAACAAATGAATCAAAGCAGATATGAGGCTTTCACTCTTTCCACTAGCACTTTAACCCAGACCAATTGCATCAAAATGTGTCTATATGGCAGCCAAATAAATTGTGAGACATAAACCAATTTTAATAAAATAGAATTTTGTGTGTCATGACACCTTGATAATAATAGCGAGACATGGTCAGATTGCTTGCGAATTGTTTAAAGTGGAGAGATTACTGAATCAGGAGACAATCCTGACTTCTGACTTCGGATAAGGCAGCCACTGCCTGGGATAAGGGGAGTGTACTGCAGAGAACTGGCTGATGGCTTTTGGTCAGTCAGCTGGGCAAGGGTGAATCAGAATTACAGTCTGCCTCCATCTGCTAGTAATTCCTGCAGTTAAAGCCAGGCATGACAAGTTGCAGTGTTACAGATGGCCTATGGTATCAGTTTCAAATAAATAGCTTCCTTCCTTTCCTATACAACTATATGCTACTGTCACTTTAATAAAGGAAATAACATGCAAGTCAAATTTGTTTCTTAAGTGTAAAAACTCTTAGACTGACAAAACTTCTTTTGCAATAAGTTTAAAAAATTACCTTTTTTGCCATCCCACCCTCCAAAACATCCCTCTCCATTCCATCTAGCAACACTCCTATTCAAGCTTGCTGGATGTGCTGTGAATCCTGAGGGACTCCTGAAGCTAATTCATACTACAGCGTAAATAACTTCTGGGTCAATGCTCCCCAAGGGGTTTGTACTTTATAAGGAAGTCATTTATGGAAGGTGCCAGAGGGAACTTTGCAATTGAACTTTGCAATTCAAATGAAAGGTGGGGCTTTTTTCCACAGAGCATCTCCAGGAAAAAAGCCAACAGAGCTATTGTCCCCCAAAACAAATTAATATATATAGTTCATTCACAAATTCATTCTACAAATATTGGCTGCCTATCATATTCTAGTCATTGTTGATGTTTTTCTTTTTCTCATATAAATGTATTTCTTACTTTAAAAAAGAGGCCAAGGAATATAAAGGAATATAAAGCTAATAAAAAATTCAGCCCTATTTGTATAAATTTTACAAGTCATTAAAAAGTCGGTGAGAAAAATTTTATTTTTTATGTTTTTTTAAGTGGTCATTTGTTGGTTGGAAACTATGATTAGAAACAGTTTTCCCTCTTTGCCAGGTAAGTACTATGCTCTAGGAGGGCTAATAGGATGGTTATATTGCCTAGTGAAGAGATCTGGGGCAAGCAGCTTAACCCAGGTATACCCCCAGGTTTTAAACTACCATTCCTTATAAAGTTTTTTTTTTTCAAATAAATACTATACATTGGATATTTTACATATTTAGCATCAAATCCACAGTTATGTGACTGATAAAATACAAATCTTGCCTCCTTCTCATATTTTCCGTGTGTTGCAGAGTGATCTCTCTCAAATGCCAACCTATTTATTAAGTCTTGTATCTGATTTTCCACCTTCAATATATGCCTTTTTTCCACATTTAGTACAATGCTGGCATGTAGTAGATGCCCAGTTTGTAGATATTGAGTAGCTGAACTATATTCAATTCAGTATATATTCCCTGAATATACATTGGCATGCAAGGCAGTGTACTCACGAGTACACGGATGACTAAGACACATTCTTTCTCTTCTTGTAGTTTTGCATTTAGTAAGTGTGGATATTTGGGGATAAGTCATGACAAAAATCCTAATAAAAGCCAACCATTCAAGCCAAAGAGAGTCAGTCGGGAACAAGTGGCTATGGGAATTTAGTCTCTGACACCAGAAATCATAGCCTCTCAGAAATTACAGTTCACTGTGGAACACTTTAGTGTTTTGGAAGGTAGCTCTGTCTTTCAATGGCTAGCTTTTAATCAGCTTTTTGAAATAAATGAATAAAACACCCTTTGTTTCATTTATGTGTGTGCTTCAGTTTAAAGTAGTAAAAACAATGATCATATTCATCTGTTCCATACAAGAGTCGACAAAATATTGGATACATATTTAAGTATTACCATAATTATAGTTTTTATTTCATTAGGCAACTTACATCGAGATTTTTATGTACACAGGTCTGTGACTATAATAATCCATTCCTAATTGCTTATGTGGAATCTATGAATCCTTCCTTGTACAGTATTTTGTTCTCCTAGGTGTTGATAAACTAGAGCCGTTAGCAAGCTTTTATGTTCTCTTAAAGGTTATTTGACTTTGATTTAGAAATGTTACATTCCCATTCATTTCATGAATATTCTCTAATGCTTTTTCTAAACCTGGGACATAATATGGATCTTACTTCTACAGAAAATTATGGAGATTATCAGTAATTGCTCTATTACAACCACAAGGAAAAATATATTTAGATTGTAGAGTCCCAAGGTATTTCAAAAACATACTTTGAAGTAGTGACTCAATATTGGTAATGTATGTAGTTTGCATACAAATAATAAGTATTATACTTTCATGTATAACATTTAAACCACAGGATACTGAAGTTCTCATTTCCTGTTGGGAATTTTCCATGTGAATATAGGACTGTTCCTCTATCTGAAGAGCTAGAGATTTCCCTTTTATCATATTGAGCATACAATGAAATGATCATGTTTTGATTTTTTTAATTATCATCTCAAAGGTTTTAAAAGAATTATATGCTTCCTTTACATTGCATTATCTGATTCTATCCAGTGATAATGTCCTATATAGTTATCTCTCTAAATTGAAGGTGACTGAATGGGATGATTTTCTTTTTTGTAGTGGCTCCTAGACTCCTCCCTTAAGTCCTGGCATGCAAGTCCTCAATCATAACTGATACCAATTATTTCAGGGTATTCTCTGTGGCAGTACAGATTTCCTCCTCTTCCCTACTTTTATTATAAACAGTTTATACAACACCTAAAAAGCCCTTCTGAAATAATGTGATATGAAAGAGTCCCTTAATGGTTATTTCCCTGGAAGACCAACTAGGTAAGCACATAGTCCCATTTACTACCACTTCTATTACTAGTTTTTTTTTTGTTTTGTTTTGTTTTTTGAGACAGAGTCTTGGTCTGTCGCCCAGGCTGGAGTGCAGTGGTGCGATCTCTGCTTACTGCAAGCTCTGCTTCCTGGGTTCACGCCATTCTCCTGCCTCAGCCTCCGGAGTAGCTGGGACTACAGGTGCCCGCCACAATTACCAGCTAATTTTTTTGTATTTTTAGTAGAGACAGGGTTTCACTGTGTTAGCCAGGATGGTCTAGCTAAAGGATTGTAAATACACCAATCAGCACCCTGTCTATCTCAAGGTTTGTAAAGGCACCAATCAGTGCTCTGTGTCTAATCTGGTGAGGACTTGGAGAACTTTTGTCTAGCTAGAGGATTGTAAATGCACCAATTAGCACCCTGTCAAAACGGACCAATCAGCGCTCTGTAAAATGGACCAATCAGCTCTCTGTAAAATGGACCAACCAGCTCTCTGTAAAATGGGCCAATCAGCAGGATGTGGGTGGGGTCAGATAAGGGAATAAAAGCAGGCTGCAGCACCAGCTGCGGCAATCAGGTTGCGTCTCCTTCCACGTTGTAGGAGCTTTGTTTATTTGCTCTTTGCAATAAATCTTGTTGCTTCTCGCTCATTGGGTCTGTACTGCCTTTATGAGCTGTAACACTCACCACAAAGGTCTGCAGCTTCACTCTTGAGGTCAGCGAGACCACGAACTCACTGGGAGGAGTGAACAACTCTGGACTGGAGGAATGAACAACTCCAGAGGCACTGCCTTAAAAGCTGTAACACTCACCGCAAAGGTCTGCACCTTCACTCCTGAAGCCAGCGAGACCACGAACCCACCAGAAGGAAGAAACTCTGAACATGTTTGAACATGAGAAGGAACAAACGCCGGACACGTCACCTTTATAGAACTGTAACACTCACCGCCAGGGTCTGCGGCTTCATTCTTGAAGTCGGTGAGACAAAGAACCCACCAATTCTGGACACAGAAATACTGAGGCAAGATAGTTACAACTATATGTATCTCATCAATTTAATTAAAATTGGAATTAATAAGGCTTGAACTTAATAATTTAAGGGTACTTCCAAGGTTGCTGTCCTGTCAATGGATATTTGTTTGATGGTGTGAACAAGAAAGCAGAATTAAAAGATATTTTAAAAAATGATTTGACTAGAATTCAGAGTGCTTTGTTTGGCACTAAATGTGACACCTGAGCTCCTTCTCTCTCTTGCGAATGAGATCATGGCTTTGGTTTCCATGATTTCCAAGGTTCATTTATTTTTTAAATCGACTTACTTTTAGATTCAATATAGGCTTTAACATATACTCTTTCACTTCCTTAGTAGGTACTTTATGAGCACTTCGTTCATGTAAGGCACAGTGCCAGGCACGGGGATGTGTCAGGAGAGTGAAGAGCTCCTTTGCTCATGGGCTCAGGGTTTGGGGGAGACAAACATTACATAATTACACAAATAAATAGAAACTGTGATAAGCGCTGCAAAGACATCATGGAGGGTGTCAGGAGATAAAATAATAGATTGACCTAAATTGGATTGAGAGTGAGAACATGTCTCTCAGAGAGTAAGAGCTTTAGGCTGAAACCCGGGGAGTGAGAAAAAATTAGTTGAAAAATAAAGCATAAGTTAGTATTTCAGGCAGAGGAAAAAGTTAACAGAAAACCCCTGAGACATGAAATCACCCAGAGTTTAGGACATGGTCTGAGATGAGGTTGGAGACAGTGGGCAGAAACTACATCATGGGAAGCCTGAGGTCAGAGTAGGGGCTTTTATCCTAGATACAACGAAAATCTGGCAGTGAAAGAGATAGAGAAAAACAGGTAGGTGTGGGGAGGAGTTGTGCGCAATACACAAAACATAAGATGCTGAATGGGTGAGAGGTTTGGCTTTCTTCATTTTTGTGTTTTGTAAAAATTTGGCCTTTTTGGAAAGGTCAGATTCTTGGGAGATAATTTCAGACAACAGTACATGTGGAATTTGAGCATCTTGAAAATGTTTTTTAAAAGGCTTCCTATACCTCCTAGAAGTACTCATACATCAATTTGAAGATCACTGATATAAAACCCAGTACCTAATCTTAGGAAGTTGGTAATATAGGTAGAGAGATAAGTCACAAGCATATGAAAAGTTAATCATAAAATATTTAAATAACAGTTCAATACAATAATAAACTATAATAAGCAAAGTGTATGAAATTGCCATGTTTAATTGCTTAATTAATTGTGCAGAAAATGATTGGTCAGAGGTCCCCAGTGGTCAGGGCATTTTTTGGGGATCTTATAAAACTGGGAGAATTTGAATGGTCTGAAGGAAGGATTTGTGATATTTCAAGACTAACAGTAATATTTATTGAGGGAGAAAATTGAAAGATGTTTTTGAGTGCCTACAATTTGGTGAAATGATTAGAAGATAGTTTGATTACAAAGAGTATGGAATGCGACCTTCTCCAGGTTAATTTTTTTAATTAAAAATTTTAAATAATATTAATTGAACATATTATGTATTTATGGGGTACAATGTGATGTTTTAACATATGTTTACATTTGTGGAATGATTAAGTCAAACTAATTGACGAAAATCTATCACCACACATACTTGTTTCTTTGTGGTGAAAACATTTAAAATCCTTTTAGTAGTTTTGAAATAGACAGTATATATTTATCACATGCTCAGTAAAATGGCGAGGCACAGAAGGACAAATGCTGCATGATCTCACTTGTATGTAGATTCTTAAAGTGTTGAACTCATGGAAGTAGAGTACAATGGTGGCTACCAGAAGCCAGGAGTAGGGGATTGGATACAGAAAGGGGAGATATTGATCAAAGATACAAAATTTCAGTTAGCCTTCAGAAATTGTACTACACTTTGTGGGTCCTGGGTATCCACTGTAGACTTTGGAGTAGGGAAATACTAGGATAAAATTGACATGTTAAACGTATCCAGGGAAAACCTGACAAAGGGATTTGAAAGAGGAAATGGTCAAATTTAGAGGCTTAGAGTCAAAATCCTAGACTAAGGCAATAAATAGCTTATGTAATGGATATGAAAATGGAAAGAAGGAAGGAATATTTTTGAAACGTCCAGTGAAAATAAAACAACACAAAACAAAAAGACAAGATTGGGTAATTATTTGGATATAGACCCTCAAGGAAAAGTGAAGAGTCCTAGAAAACAATTTTGTGCCCTATAAACGTTAGGAATGGTTTTTGTGATTATTTAATCAATTTGCTTGTTACAGTAATAGTAGTGTTAGCAGTGGAAATCTCAGAACCAGGAGCTGAAAGTACCTGTATCTCCACTGTTGTCAAATTCTGGTATTTAGACTTGCTTGTACTTGCAAGCTGGTGTTTACCTTGCTGGACATTATTTAGTCACTCTCATTAACCAATATTTTACCTAAAGTACAGTACTCATTACCAAACCTAAAGTATAGTACTCATTACTTAGTGACCAAACTTCTTTAATGTAATTCTTCATATGTCTCTCTTCTAACAGGAGCAACTTGGGCAATAATGACCCCCATTAATGCTGTAACTTTTCTCTATCCAGAAAGTAAAAGTAGAAAATTAGCAGAAATATGGACTGTCTCACATATACTTCTTCTTTTTATTCACTAACAGCTTTCCAATATCATAGATACACCTAAGCACAGTTCATTCCCAAACAATGAAGTATAATACATAACCTCCAACCAGAATATTGTCTTGTTTACTTTTTAGGCAATGTTTCAAAGTGCTGTTTAAATACATATTTTAGCAAAATGAACCCAGATTCAGAAAACTAAAGAGCAAAAATAATTAGATTAAGAAATCATCCTTAACTGTAACATTCAAATAGAACCATTGTTCATGTTTTACCACATATCCTCTCAGCTTATTTTCTCTGTGTATACATAAAATATCACTTTTGTTATGGAAATGAGATTTTATGTCTAAAAATATAATCGCTTTATATGTACTGTTCTGTGACCTGCTTTTTCAATTCATTATTTCTGTGAATGTCTCCTGAATTAATAATTGTAGAATAACATCATCCCTATAACTTCAATGAAAGTTCTAGTAACCTTCTGGTTTTGTAAGTCTGGGTGGTTTGCAATATTTTATATTATAAATACAATTATCTAATAATATTTGCATACTCACCTAAAAAGATATAGGAATATTTTATAACTCTGTTGTAAATATATATATATACACACACACACACACATACATATATGTGGGTATTAACGCAATTCTTTATCACCTTAGAGTAAGTTTCTAAAAGCGATATTGTTAGTTCAAAGTTGTGCAGCTTTAAGATTTAAAAATATTTTCAAATTGCCTTATATAGTTCCATTTTTTCTCCCCCCAACAGGATATGTAAACACCCATCCCCTCACTCTTTCAACAATAGAAAAAATGGGCTTAACCATTGATACGTATCCTTGCAGTCTATTAGCTAGTACATGATATCTTTTGAGTTTTGGCTTGCATTTGAGGGGGAATTACTTGTAGGTAAACATTATTTTATGTGTATTGGTTTTTTATGTTTTTACTTTTTGAACTGCCTGTTCACATTCTTGGCACATTTTCCACCAGAGAGGTCAAACTAATTTCTTAAGTACTATTTTCCGGTTAGCAGACAACATAACGAGTTTCAACAGCTTATTAAAATAGTGGAGTTTCTTACATCTGCTATTATAATGGAAAAAAATTTCTGTGCCATGATAAAAAATCAAGATGCTAAATATCTAGTGTTGTCTAACTTTAATATTTCCAATTTGACTTAACTCTTTGTTTAATATCTGTTTTACTTAAAATGAGTGATAACATTTATCAACATTGTCTTATGTAATTTATTTTTTTATGAGGATTATATTTTTAAAAACACCTAAAATATATTAAAGGGAAGTGTATACAACAAAATATTTCTTGTGAAAGCCAAAAGTTAAGTGGCTGCCCTATATTGCCACTAAAGGTGAACCTTATTTTCAACTGTATCAGATATGTGGCACAATGTGGAAAATTTCCAAGTTCGTTATGAACAATCATAAAACCCAAAATCCCCACTCACACACTTGATGGCTGACAAGAGCTGAGTTTTCACCCTTCTCATATTGGTGCTCCTTTCCAAGTATTGTGCTTTCTGCCAAAGTAATGCTTTTTCATTTTAGTACAAAATCTTAGTTACTTAAAGAGTATAAAAACCTATTCCTCTCATAGCTAGAGGCTTATGTGAAAAGTAAAGGATGAGGGACAATTTGAGATTGACAATGGGAGATCAGATTGCAGTGGAGCTCATGGAACAATCAAGTTAGAGTCCTCAAGAGAGGGTAGGAAGAAAATGTTTATGCACAGCACTGATAATCACCATTCCCAAATGTCTACAGAAGATCCATGACAACAGTGACTTATTAATGCAGTTCAATAAATGTTTTCTTATATTTATAATAAGAGATACGGTAATAGCATTAAATAATTTGTTTCGTAATGGACGGTTGAATTCATTCTTGTATTTTTCCCATATAATTGTGGAAGAGAGAGAAATCACAAGTGTCTGTGCATTTGATCATATAGACTTGAATTGTCCTATAGGATAAAATTGATATTGTGGTCACATTCATTTATTCAATTTATGTTTATTTATCACCAGCATTTTCAGTTCCTTTTTTGGGTAATAGATACACACACACACACACACACACACACACACACATAAAAAAAACTCCTGCCCTCCAGCTACCTTCTAATGAAAGAGATTGGTAACAAATATATAATTATGGAATATAATGAGAGATAATAAATGCAATGAATAAAAATTATGGCACAATAAGGAGATAGGGAAATGGAGGCTTATTATATAGGGTGGTCATTGAAGAAGACTATGAGGAAATGACATTTAAGTATGGTCCTGGGGGACCTATGCAGCAATCTAGAGTTAAGAGTATTAAAGGCAGAGGGAAAGACAAATGGGGTGGTCCTGAGACAGGAATGTGCTTGGTCCTCAGCATGTTCAAGGGTTATTTAGAAACTTATGTCACTTCTTTACTTTTCTATTTTGATTTTTTTCAAAGTTAACACTCAAATCCATTAATTGACTCAGATGGCTAGAAAGTGGGAAACATAAAAGTTATGTTCACTGATGTATTTGCTTTCAGACATACTTGTGTTTTGTCATGTTAGAAAGTACTTAAAGACAAAGGCTGTAAGAGGTGGATGTCAGAGGAAAGACAGGATCAATCAAGATAGGTAGAATAGTGACACAAAAGTATAAATTGTTTTTGTAGAAATTTTAAGAATAACATTTCAGTGGTGTTACTAATAATTTGTAACAATGACTAAACAAATTCACATTGGTTTACGTCTCCAAATATTGAAATTCAGACTTCATTTAATTCAGCATTTTGTTTGCCATGATTGAAGTTATGACTGAAAAAAACAAGGTAGCATCTTAGAACAATATTGCTTCCAAAAGTTGTGTCCACATTTGGTTCCTGAATTTTGTTGATGGCTGATCAACCTGAGACTATGAGCTTGTACAGTGGCACCTAATGAAATTGGTAATATGTCCACATTTTAGATTATATTTCATTTGTTGCTCCAGTCTGACATTAAAATAAATATTCCTTTTTTTTCTTTTCTCTTTTATTTTTTTTTTTTTGAGACGGCTTCTCGCTCTGTCCCCCGGGCTGGAGTGCAGTGGTGCAATCTCAGCTCACTGCAAGCTCCGCCTCCTGGGTTCACACCATTCTCCTGTGTCAGCCTCCTGAGTACCTGGGACTACAGGTGTCCGCCACCACGCCTGGCTAATTTTTTGTATTTTTAGTAGAGATGGGGTTTCACTGTGTTAGCCAGGATATTCTCGATCTCCTGACCTCGTGATCCACCTGCCTCGGCCTCCCAAAGTGCTGGGATTACAGGCGTGAGCCACCATGCCTGGCCTAAGTAAATATTCTTAAACGAGCAATAGTGACCACAGAGAATGGGTTTGTTGATAACATTTGCAAGATTAACCAAAAATTGTGAAGTACAACTTTCATATTCCTTTGTAACTACATATATATTTTACATATATCATTATATAGGTATATAAAAAGTAGTGAGTACTGTTGTAAAACTCTATACATGGCCAACAATTAATTTTGAATTTCAAAATATTTCAAATGATTTCTCAAAAGTATATGCAAATAACAAAATGTCAATATTTTCTGTACATTGTATGATTACCCGATGAAGGTATTTTCTACTTGAAATACCTTTTAATAAAGTACCAAGAAAACCACAAAGCACTTAATGCATCAAAGATGTTATCTTATCTGTTCTTCACTTTGAAAGCCATACTTCATCTTGAGCTAAAGAATTTGAGAATTGAAATCTTGGCAGAGGTTAACTTACAGGTAAGTACAATCACTTGAGAATTTTACTCATGATGTTCAATTTAAATCCTTCAAATACTGTTGCCCTAACAAAATAGAACATTTTATGCTTCTTTCCACAGGTAAGAGCAATCCATCTGAGGGACTACAACGTGACTGAAGACCTCTGTCCCAAACTTTTTTAAAGGAACTTTGTTATACCACAGTTTAGCAATCTTTAGAAAGATGTTACACTTATTTTGATATCCAGATAAATCAAGAGAGAGTATTTCCTTATAGCTGCAATGAAATCTGTAATGAATTTGTGGTTATTTGTTTATTTTACTTAATTAAACACATATGCCAATTGTTGCAAGGGATATAAATTTGTGTACACTATTCTTGATCTTAGAGGTTAACAGGTACAAGACATTAATAAAATCTGTGATGCAGGGTGGATAGTTGTAAACTCAAAAAACAAATACATAAAAGGAAGAGGCAGAGAGAGAGATTTTTAAAAATGCACTAAGAATTAATGAAAGAAAATGCCTAGTATTGAATCTCAAAGATGACCTCATAGAACATGTAGCATCATAAATGCCATAAATGGATCTTAAAGGAGAGTTATGACAATCATAGAGGGAGGTGGAAAGTTTAGCAGGCGAAAGAAAGATAGTATAAGCTAACTTGAGGATGGAAATGCATGGGGCAGCTTTTTGGAATAGCAAATGAACTAAATGTAGGAATAGTGTATTAGTCCGTTTTCATGCTGTTGATAAGGACTTACCTGAGACTGGGAAGAAAAAGAAGTTTAGTGGACTTACAGTTCCACATGTCTTGGGAGGCCTCATAATTGTGGCAGAGGACAAGGAGGAGCAAGTCATGTCTTACATGGATGGCAGCAGGCAAAGAGAGAATTTGTGCAGGGAAACTCCTGTTTTTAAAATTATCAGATCTTGTGAGACTTACTCACTATTACAAGAACAGCACGGGAAAGCCCAGTCTCCATGATTCAGTTATCTCTCACTAGGTCCCTCCCGCAACACGTGGGAATTATGGGAGCTACGAGATGAGGTTTGGGTGGGGACACAGAGCCAAACCATATCAAATAGGGAACAGTAAAATTAGAAATCCAACATTATTTTATCATAATACTGGGAAAGCAGTATGTATATTTGAGGACCTTGATTTAAACTTAAGACTAATGTAACAATGCTGGTCTGGAATGAATTTTATTAAGGAAATTATAAGAAAAGGCTAGACAAGAATTAACTAGGTAAATTTAAAAATGAAAAGTATGTGAGACATTATGATGGTAGATTATGTATGATCAAACAACTTAATGAATGTCTGAGTCAGAAGGAAGGAGTCAGATGACTTCAAGCTGGTGACTAAGAGACTAGTAGTGCCATTAATGAAAATAGAGGGTTCAGGTTTAGTTAATACTCATGAGGAAAACAAAACACTTATGAGTGTCTTGAATTTAACCCACCTTCATAATAGCTCTATGAAGTTGTTCAACTGGCTCCTGAAAAGCTGTGTCTGGAGTGGAGGAAGAGGAGAGGGAGATGCTGAAGGGAAAGGAATTAGAGAAGTGGTCATAGAATAGTCAGGAAAGTGAGGAATGAAGATGACAGAGCCAAGATCAATCTTCCAGCTGGTAGTTACTGCAGAAGGGTGGAGGAGCCGAAGAGTGGAGACCAAGAAGATATGGGTGATCTGCTAGAGCAGCACTGTTCAGGAATATGTCCCTGCACTGATGAAAATGTTCTGTCCATACTGTCCAGTCTGGTTTCCAGCAATCACATGTGACTATTGAGGAACTATATTTTTTATTTTATGGAATTTTAGTTAGTTTAAATTTAAATACCCTCCTGCAGCTAGTGGCTACAGAATTGATAAATGCAGCTATAGAGAATTTTAAAACACCTTTGTCTCACTGAAATCAATTTTCCACTCAGCCATCAAGTGTCATCTCTAAACTATAGTTTGGAACATCTCCTTCTGCTTAAAACTCTCCAGTGGCTTTTCATTGTTGAGGAGTAGGATCCAAACTACTGAAGCATAGCAATAACAAAGCATCTCCAGCCTCACTCCATCCATCTGAAGCCCTAGCCACAGCAGCCTCTGAGTTTCCCCAACAGGCTGAACCTTTTCCTGGTCAAGGCCTTTGTGTTCTTGTTCTTGCTTTTCATCTTTCAGGCCTCCAGTTAAGTGTCACTCCTCAGAGAGGTCTTCCTTGAGCCCCTTATGTAAATTAGCCAGCTCATTGCTATTAGTCTCCAACTCAACACTCAATTTATTTCCTTTATGGTATAGATCATAATTTCTATTTATTTATTTATTTTCCTTGGCCTCCACCACTGGATTGTAAACTCCCTAAGAGCAGGGATCATGTGTGTCTTAACATTTCTCATACCTCTCAGAGGGCCTGGGTTGTGCAATAAATATTGGCTGGGTGTTGATAAATACCAATACGAATATGTAACTACTAAGCAGAAGTTTCCATAAGCAAGTTTGTTGTTATCAGTATATTTCGGCAAAAAAACACTCGGAGAAACTTATATAGACAAATTGGCAAAATATATACCTCAAAAAGTTTATTAAGACAGAAGAAACTGAAATAGTATCAGTTGAAAGATGCAATTTGGATAGTACTTAATGGGGAAGAAAGTTACATAATTTTTGTACTTTATAAAGCCTCAAGTAGAGTCCCCAGCCTCTCAAGTTCCACCTGACTTCTATCTACACCAGAGGAATAATTTATTTCTTAGCTGCTTCTCTAATGCCTGCCTTAGTTTTATTCTTTGGACCTCTATGACCCTTGAAAACATTGGAAAATTTTTGCTCAGGGTATTTTCTGGAATTTCAGTAACAATATGAAATTAACATCATTATCATTACTATATAGAAAACAAAATCAAACAAAACTCTCAGATTGGCAGTTTATTAGAGAAAGAGAAAGGATCTGTTATTGCTTGGAAATGCAGGAAAAATAAAGACTATTACCCAGAAAATAGTTGTTTATTTTCATAGAGTTTGTGAAATAAAGCAGCTGGCCTATCAAATTGCTTTCATTACCTAAGTAAGCAGAAAGTGATACTTTTAATAAAATTGTATTTCACTAGGAATGAAATTGATGGTGCAATATTTTTAGGTTTTTAAAATAAAAGACCTTGTCTGAGACATATCTTTAAAGTTAAATATAAAAAGAATTATATATGAAAGCCAGTATTTTTCCTTAGCATTCAAAATGAGGGTACATACCTACTGATAAAGAAAAAAAAGAAAGCCTGTCTCCAGGACAACCAACTCTTTTTTTTTTTTTCCTTCAGTGTTATGCTTTCTGTCCCACTGCTATGAATGATTTAAAAAGAAAAAAGAAACAAAGAGGAGGAAAGAGAAAAAAAGGACAATAGAAAGGAACACACTATAAGTATTATGCTTTTATGAAACAAAGCGAGCATATTTTAACCTCAAAGGTATCAGTTTAATTAATGCTAACTTATTTCCAAATATAAGTTAAAAATTACATTCCATGTACTTAAGTTTTTTGCCAATATATAGTTTTTGTAAATATTAAGGCCCTGGAAAATAACATTGGAATTTATAAACAGATTATAATTCTAACCCTAACTTTATTCAAATACTGTACTTATATACCTTTCTTCCTCAAATACTTAATCTGGTATTTAACTTCATCACTCTCAAAGTCAGTTTGAAAAGCATAAAATTTCTTAAATGAGCATAGATGATATATGTATCAATAACATGGTTTATTTTTAGATGATATATTTTAATAATATAAAGTTAATCTTTAACTATAAAAAGTAATCCTGCTACAGTTTTCTCCAAATGTAGATAATCTTATGAATAATACTATGAAATAACATTTATTTCAAAATCCTTTTTTAATTACTTCATCATCACGTAGAATTAAGCATAGTTGTTCCATGACCCATTGCTTGGCACATGGTATCTATTGAATTTGATAACAATAATACATCCCCATGTAGGAATACATTGCTTCCTGACCAATGCTCCACATTTAGAAAAAGCAAAATGGTGCTTTATTTTAGCTTCTAAATGATAAGATGGATATAAAATATGGGCATATTGTATGAACTGTGTAAAGTTCTGCTGGTTTAATTGTTGAACTTCCAGAACATCTGTTCTGCAGAATATTCCTGTTCTATATGAGTTACAAGGTATATGTCAATTTCTTTCTAGACTATGCCTCTTTAGATAGAAGATGTGAGAAAATCAAAAACAGATAACTCCAAAATGCTGAAAATTATGGAATGAGCCCTCAAAAGACTGCACTTTGTTCCCTTTATCTGCCTCCCTTGCCCAAAGGAGTATAGTAGAAAGTAGATAATTACCTTATGAACTCATGTTATATACACAGGTGGATTGGTTAGTATAGAAAAAAAATTGCATTCATGGCCTGTGAAATTCAGATGAAGTACTTATTTAGATAACTCCATCAAAACACTAACTCTTTCTGATCTCAGAAATTTAAATGAGTCTAAGGAACATGCGGTGAGCCCAGTAATTTTGGCATAAACATTTCACTTAAAATCATGAGTTAAGATACAAGCTTGATTTGTTACTTCAAATAACTATTAATCCTCTTGCTATGTGAATGAGCTATTTTTTTAAAATTCAGTGTTCAGTGTTTATAATCAGACAAGATCCCATTATCAGTAGGTAATCCCTAACTAACTGCATGCTTTTGGTTATCAAAAAGCATCATAGTTGAAAAAAAAAGTCTGCTTTTGTCAAAATCAAAATCTCATAGATAAAAGCAGTTAGTGGAGAAAATTATTAAGTGGTATTAAATATACTTTTTAAACACAATAAATAAAAATTCTAGAACGTATTCTTTTCTGAAGATGATATTCATTAGTATAATAATCCTTCCCCAGATTTAACTTTCTTTTGCTATCTCCTTCAGTAGTTCAATATTGTACTGGTTTCATAAGCTGCTGAATCTGCTGAGACTAATTTTTTTTTTTTTTTAGTTCAATGCTGTGAAGAGTACACTTCCTGTTGAAGTCTTTGAAACAAGTCACACTGACTTGAAATATAATGTATTTAGCACTTGTATTTTTCTTTGCTTTATTTTTGCAAGTCTTGAAAAACATGTATTTAGTGTACAGGATTTTGCAAAATTTTGTGATGACATCTTTCTAGGACTGGGGTTCTAGCCATACACCAAGAGGGTGGAATTGAACAAATCTGTTTGTGCACTATTTCATAGACTGACCATGTGCTGTGTAGAACAGTATTTGTCATATGCTCTGATTAAAGAGGAATAAACTCTCTTACATGAAAATATTTCATATCTTGAAACATGAGTATATAAATATAAATACCTACAGTCTTGAAACTTGATATTAGTGAGGGATTACTGTATTATACAGTGTGCCAATTGTTCAGATCAATGTTTTCCAATGTTTCCTGATGAGCAAAATCACCAAATAACTTTTTTAAAGTACAGAATGTTAAGACTTATAGCAGATCAATAAATGCCTAGGAATGGAAACTGGGAATTCACATAGTGTTTTTTTTTCCTCCTGAATTGTCATTATTGTGTATATTCTTGAAGAAATAACTTATTTTTTTTAAGTTGATCTGCACTAGCAGACAAAAACATATAAAATATCAAAGTATTAACTGTTAAAAACAAAATTTATGATTATTTATTATTAAAAATATGGAGTAGAGAGTGAGAGGCAAAGCAAAAAACAGTGGTATTTCTTTGTGTGGGTTACAATTTCACATGGGGAAATTAAAATTTTGATAAGAACACAAGCCAGAAATGAAGTTAGCAATCACTTTTTGTGCTGTTAAAAAGTAATGAAACTGCTTCCTTTAAGAAGAACATACACACTTGGTAAGGAGTAGGAGGATAGGAATTTAGGTACAAGTAGTACTTGAAAGTTAGACTTCTCTTAGAACTTGTTGACCTGACAGCTAATAATCACGTTAGGTTTTGAAAAATATATGTAAGAGAACTGGAGATTTTATAATAGTTTCTGTCTGTCCTCTATGCCCTGATACATACTACTATGTAGAGGGAATACCAAATGAAAAATCCAAAGGACCTGGGGACCTGGATCAGAGATTGTCAGGAAGGGATGCAAAAGTTTCTCTTCTCTCTACTCAATATAAGACTATTCTCAGTTATTATTTTTTATAGAGGAGAAAAATAGCTGAAAATTTTCAAAAGTGGCTACTTTAAAGTTATGAAGTAATTAGAAAATGCCGAGAATTTTGCTTTAGTAAAAATCCAGTTCTTCTCTTTTTGATTGACTGTAACTTTTCTGAACTACAAACTTTCTGTTACATTAAGCATAATTGCAAAGGTAAAATCTGGTAGATATGTTAGTTTCACTGATGCAAAGCTGTTTCTTGCTTGAGAAGCAGAAAGCGTATGGGGAAAGGAAAGAATCAATTAGGGGAAAGAGAAAGGAGTTGGAGGTTGAACATAATGTTATACTAGGAATTTTAAAGAAAAGTAGCATTCTAAATCATCGCCTATCCAATTTGATCATCAAAGATAAAAATACCTGTCTACTGGGCTAGACACCTTCATTCTGTTGCCACTCACAATAATACTCTTTCCAGGGAGAATTATTTCTAACACCTGATTTGTAGAATCAGAGCCTATAACTTTAAACAGACTAACCTAATTCCCATAGTATTTGAAAACCAGTAAATCTCTTGGCCCCTCGCTACACACAAAAGCCACTCCCAGCAGCTCCTCTGGGGGTTACAAGATCAATCTTAGACTTCAATCTCAGTCCTATTGTAGTCATGCTAAGGCACACTTAGGGATAAACCAAACAACTGATCCAAATCGGTGTTCATGTAGCTGGTGGGAGAGTGGTTAGATAAAGGGAAGATATTGCAGAAAGGAGAAGGGATGAAGATAATTTTATTGTGAAACAACACTTCAGGTTTTATTTGTCTAATACAAGAAATACAGAGAGGTTTGGGTGTGGTGACTTAGGCCTGCAATGCCAGCATTTTGGGAAGTCAAGGCAGGCAGATTACTTGAGCCCAGGAATTCAAGGCTGCAGTGAGCCATGACAGCGCCACTTGTATTCCAGCCTGGGCAACAGAGGTTATTTCGTCTTAAAAGAAAAAGAAGGAAAGGAAGAAGGAAAGAAAGAAAGAGAGAGAGAGGGAGGGAGGGAGGGAGAAAGGAAGGAAGGATTGAAGGAAGGGAGGGAGGGAGGGAGGAAAGGGAGGGAGGGATGGAGGAAGGGAGGGAGGGAAGAGGAAGGAAGGAAGGGAGGGAGGAAAGAGGAAAGAGGGAAGGAAGGAAGGAAGGAAAGAAAGAGAAACAAGAAAGAAGGAAGGGAGGGATAGGGGAGGGCAGGAAGAGGAAGGAAGGGAGGGAGGGAGGAAAGAGGAAAGAGGGAAGGAAGGAACGAAGGAAAGAAAGAAGGGAAAAAGAAAGAGAAACAGAAAGAAGAAAGAAGGAAGGGAGGGAGGGATAGGGGAGGGCAGGAAGAGGAAGGAAGGGAGGGAGGAAAAGGGAGGGAGGAAGGAAGGAAGGAAGGGGGAAAGAGAAACAGAAAGAAAGAAGAAAAGGAAGGAAGGAGAGAAAAAGAGAAAGAAAGAAGAAAACAAAAGAAAAAAGAAAGAAAGAAAGAAAGAAAAAAGAAAAGCAGGAAAACACATTATTATTAGGATTCTCCAGAGAAACAGAAACAAATATATATATATAATATAATAATAATTATATATAATATTACATATTATATATATAATAAAAATGTATATATATAGAGAGAGAGGGAGAGACAGAGAGAGAGACAGAGAAAGAGAGGTTTATTATAGGAATTGTCTCATAGGATTATGGAGGCCAAAAATTTCAGAATATGCTATCTGCAAGGTGGAGAACCAGGAAAGCCTGTGGTGTACTTCAGACCAAATCCCAAGGCCTGAGAACTTGGGGGGCCACTGGTGTAAGTCTGGAAATCCAAAATCCTGAGAACCTGGAGCTCTGATGTCTAAGGGCAGGAGAAGATGGATGGATGTCCTAGCTCCAGAAGACTGTAAATCTGCTTCTCCTTCCCCTTTTTGTTTCAGCTAAGCCCTCAATGAATTGGATAATGCCCACTCGAATTGGTGAGGGAAAATCTCTTTACTCAGTTTACTGATTTAAATGCTAATCTCTTCTGGAAATTCCCTCACAGACACACCCAGAAATAATGTTTCGCCAACTATCTGAGTTTTCCTTAATCCAGGCAAGCTCATAGTAAAATTTACGATCACAACATTATAGCAAAACTTCAGAGTATTTGCTTTGAGAGAAAAGGTATTCCTGGCACTATTTTAAAAATAATGGAGTTAGAACATGACTCCCCAACCCTTAGACATGGACTTCACATAGTGAATTTCTTCCAAAGAGTACAGTGTGGAAAAGGGGAAAGTAGAATAACTTTGCAGTCGAGAAATCAGTCAAATGCCAACTAAAACAGGTAACTAAGCTATCAACAGGGATAATTCATGTTCATTACATGTACCCTTGATGTGATGTGATGAGAATGATCTTCCTCCCAAAATCCATAACCTCAATCTAATCATGAGTAAAATATTAGGCAAATTCCAGTTGAGAAAATACATGACTAGTGCACCTCAAAACCATTAAAGTCATCAAAATGAATGACAGTCTAAAATTTGTCACAACAAGATTTAGAAGACATGAATACTAAATCTAATGTGATAACTTTATTGAGATATTAGAACAGAAAAAGGACATTGCGGAAAGTCTAAGAAAATCTAAAAACAGTATGGGCTTCAGTTAATAATATCAATATTGGTTTATTAGTTGTGACAAATATACCATAGTAATGTAAGATGTTAACATTAGAGGAAACTGCTTGTAGGTTATATGGGAACTTTTTGTACGATTTTCTCAACTTTTATGTGAATGTAAGACTAATCTAAAATTTCAAAAAATTTAAAAAATTAGTTGACAACTACCAACAAATTAATATCGAAAGCCTTTGGAAATAGTTTTGACAGCTAGAACTATTTCTTAGATAAATTATTTTGCCATTCTTTTTTTTATTATACTTTAAATTTTAGGGTACATGTGCACATTGTGCAGGTTAGTTACATATGTATACATGTGCCATGCTGGTGCACTGCACCCACTAACTCATCATCTAGCATTAGGTATATCTCCCACTGCTATCCCTCCCCCCTCCCCCCACCCCACAACAGTCCCCAGAGTGTGATATTCCCCTTCCTGTGTCCATGTGATCTCATTGTTCAGTTCCCACCTATGAGTGAGAATATGTGGTGTTTGGTTTTTTGTTCTTGTGATAGTTTACTGAGAATTATGTTTTCCAATTTCATCCATGTCCCTACAAAAGACATGAACTCATCATTTTTTATGGCTGCATAGTATTCCATGGTGTATATGTGCCACATTTTCTTAATTCAGTCTAGCCATTCTTATATAGTTGTTATCATATTTATATACCAAACTGTAGGCCAAATGGACTAAAACATTAAATATTAATTAAATATTGCAATAATAAGAATATATATTATGTCTCAGCAGAGAATTTTTCTAAGGTTTAATGTGGTAAAAAAATAATAAAAATTACTAAACAATGTGTTAGATAACTCTATTAAAATTTTTAAATACATAAAGAACTCTAATGAATTCATATTTTAAAATCAGGCGTTCAGTAGCTGACTGAGAAAAAGGCATGAGTAATATACCTGAGAGTAAACAACAAGCAAAAAATACTTACATTTTACCTTGAGGGTAATCAATAAATTTTTTTAATGAGACATTAAAGACACTGTCTTGTACACAGTAGTTTCTCAGTAAATAGCAGTTAAATGTATTGACTATGTGTATGCATACATGTATAATTATATATAAGTATACATTTAGAAATATGTAATAATAGGATGACAGTCAAATGAATATACTCTTATATTGTTGGTGGCAGTGGAAAAACATGATAGCAATCTGAAAACAATTACTAAAACTATAAAAATGACCATTTATTTTGATCTGTTACCTTATTTCTGAGAATGTGCTTACATACAGTTGTTATATATTGCTGCATAACCAGAAGCACAGGTCTGTAGAGATTCAAAGGCTATAAGTAAATAGTTGGCTAGATATTCAGGGGCTCATAGGGAACATGACAGGGAAAGTAGCCACAAGGAGGCCTGGGGAAAAGATATGTGGATAGACCTCTCCAAATAGGCAGCTATCTGAAGATATCTGAAGATATCTAGCTCATCAAAGATTGACTTCAGCAGAAAAAGAGCATTTTATTAAACAAGTAGATAGGATGACCCATTCTGTGAATTTCAGTCAGTGTCCTTCCCCAGCCACTCCTGTCATTGCCCACTGAGCTCATGAACAAAGTACCATGGTGACAAGGATGGAGGTTACACATTGATCAGCAATATGAACTCATTGACAGCAATCTGGCTGCATCTATTGCTGAGTGCCCCATTTACCAGCCTCAGAGACCAACACTGGGCCCGTGATGCAGCACTAGTCCCCTGGAGCATCAACCAATTGAACCATTTCCATCATAGAAGGAACAGTGCTTCTCCTTACTGAAATATATACTTACTCTGTATATGAATTTGCCTTCCCTCCCTACAATGCTTCTGCAAAAACTATCATCTGTTGATTTATACAATGACTTATTTTGATATTTCAAGGATAATAACTTCTAACCAAAAAATTCATTTCCCAGGAAATAAAACATGCTAATAGTTCCATGCTCATGGAATTATTGTTCTTACCATGAGCCCTACTTCTTTTCCCAAGTCTATATTAGTTGTTTATATCTAAATAACAAATTACCTCAAATTTAGCAGTAAATAATAACAAGCATTTATTATCTCAGTTTCTATAAGCCAAAAGTAAAGTTCCTAACTTAGCTGCATACCTCTGCTTCAAGGCCTTTCAAGAGGTTGCCTTTGGCCAGAATATGGTCTTATCTCAAGACTCAGCTGATGTTAGTGGGTGGAGGGGGGTGGGGTTCTACTTCCAGGCACACTCATGTTGTTATATGCAGGCCCTGGCTCCTTGCAACATGGGCCTCTCCATAGTGCCTCAGAACATGATAGCTGGCTTTTTCCGGGACAAATAATTCAAGAGACAGTTAGAGAGAACATTCAAGTCAGAAGAATCCACAGTCTTTTTATAACCCAATCATCATTACCTCTGCAATACTCTTTTTGGTACAAGTGAGTCACTAAACCCAGATGCTAAATCCAGGGGATTCACACAGGGTGTGAATGTCAGGATGTGGAGGTCATTGGGAACCATCTTAGACACTGTTTATTTGCTACACTAAGTAAATTTTAACAATTAAAATATTTCTTTTGTCATTATCTATAGTACCAGTGTATAATTTTAACAACTTAAATGAGAAACAGTAAGGAAAAAAGTCATACATTAAAATATTAGATAAAAAGTCCTTAAAATAGCTATATATACTACATGGCATAATGAAAAATTCTTGTAAAATAATCTTAAACAGAAAAGCAGAGAACAAAATTATGCAAATACAGACATAACAATGAATACTAGTAGGGAAGACGCAAAAAGTAAAGCAATGTTGTCAAGGTAGCATGATATAGTTAAGATTTGTTTTTTTCAAAAATGTTTAATATTGTTTTTAAAACATTTGTACATTTTTTAAATGGGAGAAGTGGTGACATTGGCAATATTTAATTTATATTTTTTAGCTGGAAGCCGTCTTGTTCTCAATAAATGAATTTGTGTTAAGAACTATTATGAAATGGGCATGACAGAGTATGGATCACTCACTCCAAACCTTTTATCACTAGTGGCATTAGGTTTTTAATAATATCATCTTGGTGTATAGAATGCACAATTTTGTACCTTATGTTTTATATATATTCTGAAACCAGTGTGTGAATAACGAGGTATTCACACTGTTACTTCTGATTCAAAATGGCAGGTCAGCCATACATATTGAACTATTTTATTCAATGAAAATTGTGTCTGTTATCACACTAAAAGTTGTACTAACAATAGAGACGTTCTCTGAAACATTTTTAAGACAATAAATCAAGCCATCTGTAGTAATTTTTTTTTCTGCTTAGGGAATGATTATTAACACATGGTAGTGTCAAGTGATTTTCATTTATCTTTCATTACGCAAGAAACAGTAGACTAGAAACTGATTTCTTCATTATGAATCAATAATTAAGGAATATTGACTGCTGTCCTCTATTATGCTAGAAAAATTTTAAAATGCCCCTAAATAAATATAGAATAAGAGGATTTAAAGAAAAACTTAACAGGTAAGATACTATTAGTTCAGATTTCAACACTAAAGTTGTGATTAATATAGTTGGTTGTTTGATATTGAAAAAGGCCATAAAAAAGCCAATAATTAAGGCCTTATAGGGACTATAACTAGCTATAAAAGTGAAAAAAATACATGTAACCACATATAATCATGTGATTCTGTTTGCATTTGTATGATAAACTGAAAAAAAGCTTTACCTAATGATCTTGACACTAGCACTGTTAACTTAAACTCTGCATGACTGAGTAGACTAAAAGGACTAGACACTGATTAAAAGTCTTTCTCACCTCACATATATGATTTTGACATAATTTTTAAATTGATTAATATCACGTTTTATTTCATTGCAACTTCTCTGGTTTCTGTGAAAAGTCTCTGATTATGGAATGTAGAAACAAATATCAATCCACCTGTTTTTGTATGTATGAATTGATTACAGGCATAGACTATTTAAAATGAGACTCCTCTAGATATGTAGAACATGTAATTTAATCTAGGACAAAGTTTAATAAACTAGCTGGTCCATGATTTACACTTTTGACTTGAGCTCACTAGCAGCAAGCATGCTGATCAAACAATAAAACAAATCTTTTGTGAAAAGAAGGTAGATTATTTAGGTAGGCAAGGTGCAACTCTGTAAATAACAGTCAATGACGGGACAAAATTAAACATTTCAGGATATAAAATTATGAATAGGAGATCATGCATTATTGTATCTCTAAATCTCTTATTACTTAAAATTGAGAAATATCAAAATGACCTATTTTAAATAAAATACCATTATAAAAACCCGACCTCATATTTCTTAATGAATAGAAAAAGATTACAAATTTAGTGATAATATTTCAAAATATTATAGCTTAACCAACACATATTTATTTGTCTCAGGATATATTTAGTTTTCCAGATATCAGATGAAAACATAAATGAACTAATAACACAATATCCCATCAGAATTTTTTAAATATAAAATTTTGCTTATACTTGCAACTGAATTGCTGCTATTTGGAACTCAAATGAAAATATTGCCTATAATGCTTATAATATCTGTAACACTTATAACACTCTAAGAGCAGTAGCAGGCCTGCTCCTGTGCCTAACTGCTGTCATCTTAGACACAACCACCTCTGATGCTTTCTAATTACTAACCTTAAGAGAAAATGGGGCCAGGAGCAGTGGTCATGCCTGAAATCCCATCGCTTTGAGTGGGAAGCCGAGGTGAGAGGATCGCTTGAGGCCAGGAGAGACCAACCTGGGCAACATAGTGACACCCTGTCTATTAAAAAAATAGCCAAGTGAGGTGGTGCATGCCCATAATCTCAGCTACTCAAGAGGATGAGGCAGGAGGATTACTTGAGCCCAGGAGGTTTAGGCTGCAGTAAACTGAGTGTGCCATTACACTCAAGCCAGGTGAGAAAGCAAGACAATATGAAAAAAAAAAAAAAAGGGGAGAAGAAGAGAGAGTAAACAAGGAAGGGAGGGAAGGAGGGAAGGAGGGAAGGAGGGAAGGAGGGAGGGCTGGAGGGCGGGAGGAAGGAAGGAAGGAAGGAAGGGAGGGAGGGAGGAAGGAAGGAAGGAAGGGTGAAAGGGAGGTATTTGGGCATGAAAATATTCAAATTTGTAAAGGCTATAAACTTAACAGCAGGCTACTGTACTGTAGGCAATTGTAACACAGTGGCAAGTATTTGTGTATCTAAACACACCTAAACATAGAAAAAGTAATGCATTGCACTATGTAATGACATATGTCATTACAACCCTGACAATATTGCTAAGTGACATGAATTTTTCAGTTATAATCTTATGGGACCACTGTCATATATGTGGACCTCATTTAACATCATTATGTTGCATATGACTGTATGTTGACTACACACTTTGCTACTTCTCTCGTTTGGCTTTGCTACAAAGACGTAACCAATTTTAAAAGTTGATGTAATTCTTTGGAGACATTTCTATGTTTTTAGAAACATTACATATGTTTTTAGTGAAGGTCTAAATAAATGGAATCATTGCTGATTATCTGATACTATTCATTTGAAAATTTACCTTGGTGATTCTTCCAGGCCAATACACATAAATCTGACTCATACTTTAATCCATTTAAAAGGTTTTATATTTGGATATTATAATTTATGTAATTATTGCTTATTGGTAGATACTTAGGTTGTTTCCATGGAGATGCTTCTAACCATGGGCATCCAGGAATCCATTGGTTTGATTTTCTCCTTTCATATCTCTCTCATGATCTTGTTTCAAATGCTGAAACTAGCTCACAAAGGCATTCCTTCAATAAACACCCAATCTAATGAAGCTTTATTATGATTTTCATCACTTCAGTGGTTGTAGGACTTTCAAAAATGAAAATCTTTCTTCTTTCTTAATTTAACATGGAGCATGTTTATGCAATTGATTATGTTACTTGGGCATTGAATTTTACTCCATTTTTAAAGATGAATATGGCCACCGTGTGTGGACTGCCAACTTGGCTCATACTGGACAAAATCACAATGAAGAAAATGTATGTCTAGATTGTTGGGACTGTTACCTATATCTCATATTATCTGGCCAATATGTAGCATTATTGCATAAGTATTATATAACGATCTGTTTTAATAGTCCCCAAAAGTATATCCAAACCCATGTTGTGGTTTATTTGAGTTCTATTCCTAAAGAACAATTATTCAGGGTACACATATAAGGTCACCTAATCAATTCTGAAGTTTGCTTCGTTCGTGATAGGCTAATCCTTTTTCCAGCTGACATGAACTTCACAAAGCCTCCTTCCGAGCCTCTGGTGTGAAGAATAATTAATAAGTTAATTCTATTTCTTACTATATGAGACATCTCTTTATTTTCTATCCATCGGGATTGAGAAAAAACACTTCCTTTATTATGAACTAAAATTATAAAGTTACTTGCAAATAGATGTATTTTGTAGCAAATAGGCTATGATCTATTTTAATCACAATAGCAATGACAATTCTAGCAGGCGTCCCTTTCTGCTTGGTTGGTCAAGCAGTCAATTACCTGTGTCCTACTTCAAAGCTTACCTGCTGCAGGCTGGTCCATGACCTCCATCTTCAATTTTATCATTCTACAGCTCTAAGTAGAAATGGGATCATCCCCACGTCTCCTTGCTTCACAGCAGTTCGTTGATTGTCTTCAAACTGTAAATTAGTTTTGCAAATTAGGTTAAAAAGTTCCCAAATATTCACTCTACTCTTCCCTCTAGCTATTGTCCCAGTTTTCTCTCTTCTTTCATAGGGTTGTAGAAGGAAGGAACCTGACCACTGCCTCAGTTTTCTCACAACCTACTTTCTCCTCAAATACACAAATCTAGTTTCCCTCTCTATATTCTAGAGAGAATGTCCTGACCACCAATTTTGTTAAAAAAAAAGTTTCCTGCTTGACTTTTAGAATTACTGTATAATCCTTGTGGATAATCTTCAAAAGATAATGAATTATAAAGATAACATAAACTATAGCCTCATAGAAATAAATACCACAAGTTTCTTTTTTTTTTCTTTTTGGTTCTTTTCACTGTCTTTATAAATGTAGCAGGAGCTTTTTTGATTGCCATTAAAATATTTTGGAAAATGTTACTCAAATGTGGCATTAATTTCATTATTAGTAGTTGTTCCTTAATTTCTAATTCTTCAGTATATATGGTATATATTGGTATATAGCATATATATTGTTGCTTGTGGCCTACAAGCAAGAAGGTATACCACATATATTGGAGGTATACCATATATATTGTTGGTATACCATATATATTGAAGGTATACCATGTATATTGAAGGTATACCATATATATTGTTGCTTGTAGCCTACAAGCAAGAAGGTATACCATATATATTGGAGATTTTTCAATATATATTTAATCATACATCATTGACCATGTGCCATAGTGTTTTTAATCAGATAGATTCCAAAAAGTAGACTTACTGGGTCAAAGAATGTTGGAAATTTTAAAGTTGCTAATAAAAATGGTCAAATTGTTAAAAGACACATTTTACATAATTTAGAATCCAATTGCATTCTGAGTGCTCATTTTATGACTCTCTTAAAAGTATTGTTTATGTTTTAGACTTTTGCTAATCTGATAGATAAAAATAATTATTGCTATTGCAGTTTATGTTATTTGAATGGTTAATGGAATGAGCATGTTTATTAGTTATTGTTATAGGTTTGTCTGTTAATTTTGTATTCATGCAACTTTGCTGCAAATATTTTTCCTGGTTTGTTGTTAAACTTTAAATTTTATTCATAATGTTTCTGATGAGCAAAATCTTTTTATAATGTACTAGAAGCTTTCGACAGTAAAATCTATCACATCTATTAATATTTGCTTCTGTACTGTCTCTTCACATTTTTTGCCTTCACTATTTTCCTTTTTATCCTGCCACTTAACTGTGAGACATTAGGCAAGTTTATTCATCTTTCTAAACCTCAAATGAAAATAATATATATACAAAAGGATAACAGTAAGGAGTAAATAATATTCTGAAGCACTCAGCAGCATCTGACTCACTCAGTAATTCGGATTCAAATTTATAGTTATGCTCCCAATAGCTTTAGCATATTTATTTTTAAATTCACTGCTGGTCTTATACTTTGTTTTTACTAAATTTTTAGAAATTATTGTTTATAATTTATTATTGATATAGCAAAGCTGTTAATTTGAGTATTTTAGCACATATTCAGACACAATGAAATTATTAATTCTACTGGTTTTAAAATTGAGCTTTTATAACTTTATTGTCTACACATTTAAATGATTTGTTTCTTTTTTCATTGTTTGTTGTATAAATTCTTTGATTCTTATTCTGTTGGATCTACTTCCAAACCAGTGTGAAAGAATTATTGTTATAATGAGCATCCTTGATTTGTACTTTTTACTTCTGAGAATGCCTTTAGAGTTTCATCACTAAATTTGATAGAACTATGAGTTCGAGACATTTGTTATTTTTTCTAATTTTTTTAGGGATTCCTATTGTAAAATAATTTTAATTAAGTAGAGTTGATACATTTCAGACTTTACCAGGTTTATAGAAATTATATTTCTCTCAATGATTTCCCAATGTTAATACCTATCTTAATTCCTTGAATGGACCCTGTTTTTAGTTGTAAGCAATTTATCTTTCATGCACTAGTAATTTTATCCTAGTATTTTACTTAGTATTTTCAGATAAGTTATTTTGCCTTATGGTTATTTTTAACCATGTTTGCCAGATGTTGCTCTCTGTGTTGTCTTAATTTTCTAAAACACACTAGGTAGCTTTTCATCCTTTCCATTTCTGTAACATTTTATATGTATCAAGAAAGAACTTTAATATAAAAAATTTAAAAACAAACCCTTCAATGTCTATGAGTTTTGTCCTCATTTGTATATAGTTCTTTAATATTTTCTATTTCTTCTTTATTGAACAATGAAATATTTCTCCTGTTTCTTGCATTACCTTATCTTTTATGTTACATAAAGTTCGATGAGATCTTAATATTAATGTTTACAATAATATCAACTTTAATATTAAAGACAATAAATTATTTAATTAACTATTGCTGTCTTAATTTCTACATGGATTTTTATCTCTTCATTGAATTTGCTACAGTTTTTCTGCTACTCTCAAAAAGAAACATCTATTGGCATTATTGATCGATGACCAATTCTAAGGTTTCTTTTTTTCTAATTAACTTATTTCTTCTTTTATCTTTTTGGAAATGGTTTGATATTTAAGGGTCCACAATGACTACCTTGTCTCCAAATCTAGTAACCTTCTGAACGCCTAAGAGCATTTCTCTTATTCCTTGAATATGTCTCAGCTAGACCTCTCTGGTGAAACACTCTCCTAGTTTTTCTGTCTACTTTCACTATTCCTCTTCACCTGATTTCAAACTTCTTGTTTTCTCTCCTAATCTCAAAAGTGGGCTTTCTCCAAAAGCAGCCTGTAGGTCTTATTTGCTTTGTAGACCCTATCCAACCTCACCCAATCACAGTCAAAAGTCAGTAAGCCTATATCATCATATTGACAGTCTTAGTCTGTATTTCTAACTATAGGCTGAATATTTCCATTAAGAAGTTAAACTCTCAAAGTGAATTTGAACTCAAAGTGAAGTCACAAGCTTTCAAAACAAAGCCCTTGTTGTGACTTCCGTATTGCTATATAATTTCTATTATTTCTATATATTTTTATCTTGAAGTTATAAAAATCCTCATTCACTTCCCTGAGCTTCAGAAACTAATCCACTTCTGTATTTGTAGTTCACATGGTCTCACCTAAGCATCTCCTCTCTTCCGTATCTGACATCAGCCGAGCTGACAAGCAAGCCTTGTGGTTAAATGGACATCCAATCAGAAAAGTTTCAGTCTCCCTTAAATATATAAGTGATTCTCCTGAGACCCCCTCTTTTTCTTCTTTTGGATGAAATCCTGTCAATATCCTATTTGGGATGACCAATAAATGGTGCCCTTTTTTCCTTGGAAGACATTGGAGATTTTAATTAAGTAAAATTTCTTGAATGATGAAATCTTTGCACTATTAGGTAATGTGTGTTAACAGGTTCTCAAGAAAACCAAATAACATCTTGTTATATGTGCTTCCTCACAAAACACAGTCCAAAACTTGGAAGATAATGTTACTAATAATTTTTTTGGTAGTGGAGTTGGTGGACACATAATATATTTTTTCTAGCATTTTATATTTTCTATTATGAACTTGAATTACTTTTATATGAGAAAACAACACCCTGCCTGTGTGTATTTACTTTTAGTATCGTAGGACAAACAACATTGCTTTTAACACAAACATACTTAATTTTCAATCTGAGCTCTCTAATATACAGTGTAACTAGACACTATTACTTTATCTTCTACTTCCTCATCTCTACATTGGTGAAGAAATAAAAAGGTTTATTCCACAGAAATGTAAATAAGGCAACAAATTTTATCCTTCTACTAAGGCATAGTGGCATAGTCAGAGCTCATGAAATGTTGTTGTCACTTCAGAACAAAAGGAAGAAAATGTTGACAGACCTCTCTGTGACTTCTGAGTTTAATTTTATATGATCATTTGATAGTAACTTTGTCATGCATTTTTAGATATCGCTTCTTTGTCGGTCTCAGAGTGGGACTTAAATGGTTCCTATCACTCTTTTCCAAACAATCTACTGCTTGAAGCCTAAAAATATCCTTCTGTAGGTAGATGCAGTATGAAATTTAAAGGGTAACCCAGTCTATCATTGTTGGACATTTGGGTTGGTTCCAAGTCTTTGCTATTGTGAATAGTGCCACAATAAACATACGTGTGCATGTCTTTATAGCAGCATGATTTATAATCCTTTGGGTATATACCCAGTAATGGGATGGCTGGGTCAAATGGTATTTCTAGTTCTAGATCCCTGAGGAATCGCCACGCTGTCTTCCACCATGGTTGAAGTAGTTTACAGTCCCACCAACAGTGTAAAAGTGTTCCTGTTTCTCCACATCCTCTCCAGCACCTGTTGTTTCCTGACTTTTTAATGATTGCCATTCTAACTGGTGTGAGATGGTATCTCATTGTGGTTTTGATTTGCAATTCTCTGATGGCCAGTGATGATGAGCATTTTTTCATGTGTCTTTTGGCTGCATAAATATCTTCTTTTGAGAAGTGTCTGTTCATAGCCTTCACCCATTTGTCGATGGGGTTGTTTGTTTTTTTCTTGTTAATTTGTTTGAGTTCATTGTAGATTCTGGATGTTAGCCCTTTGTCAGTTGAGTAGATTGCAAAAATGTTCTCCCATTCTGTAGGTTGCCTGTTCACTCTGATGGTAGTTTCTTTTGCTGTGCAGAAGCTCTTTAGTTTAATTAGATCCCATTTGTCAATTTTGGCTTTTGTTGCCATTGCTTTTGGTGTTTTAGACATGAAGTCCTTGCCCATGCCTATGTCTGAATGGTATTGCCTAGGTTTTCTTCTAGGGTTTTTATGGTTTTAGGTCTAACATTTAAGTCTTTAATCCATCTTGAATTAATTTTTGTATAAGGTGTAAGGAAGGGATCCAGTTTCAGCTTTCTACATATGGCTATCCAGTTTTCCCAGCACCATTTATTAAATAGGGAATCCTTTGCCCATTTCTTGTTTTTGTCATGTTTGTCAAAGATCAGATAGTTGTAGATATGTGGCATTATTTCTGAGGGCTCTGTTCTGTTCCATTGATCTATATCTCTGTTTTGGTACCAGTACCATGCTGTTTTGGTTACTGTAGCCTTGTAGTATAGTTTGAAGTCAAGTAGCGTGATGCCTCCAGCTTTGTTCTTTTGGCTTAGGATTGACTTGGCAATGTGGGCTCTTTTTTGGTTCCATATGAACTTTAAAGTAGTTTTTTCCAATTCTGTTAAGAAAGTCATTCATAGCTTGATGGGGATGGCATTGAAACTATAAATTACCTTGGGCAGTATGGCCATTTTCATGATATTGATTCTTCCTACCCATGAGCATGGAATGTTCTTCATGTGGCACATATACACCATGGAACTATGCAGCCATAAAAAATGATGAGTTCATGTCTTTGTAGGGACATGGATGAAGCTGGAAACCATCATTCTCAGCAAACTATAGCAAGGACAAAAAACCAAACACTGCATGTTCTCATTCATAGGTGGGAATTGAACAATGGGAAAACATGGACACAGGAAGGGGAACATCACACACCGGGGCCTGTTGTGGGGTGGGGGGAGGGGGGAGGGCTAGCATTAGGAGATATACCTAATGTTAAATAACGAGTTAATGGGTGCAGCACAACAACATGGCACATGTATACGTATGTAACAAACCTGCACGTTGTGCACATGTACCCTAAAGCTTAAAGTATAATTTAAAAAAAAAAGGAAATTTTGAGGGTAAAGCCACAGGTCAAGACAGCAAACCACAAATCTAATTTAAATGCCTGAGTCATTAAATTCAGTGTGATGCTCTGGATACCAGCATGCTATGCCCTCTGTCTATATAGGAGGCTGTGTGTGAGAAAGAGAGGTTTAACAATTAAAAAGAAAGTGCACATTTAGAAGGTATCAAACCTGATTCAGCAGTGTTACAAAAGGGACGTGAAACTTAACATTTATGTTTAATTTGGGCATTTAACTCTACTACTTTCCATGGTCTTTGCAAAAATAAGTTTAAGGCTGGCAATTACTTTTTTAGCTCATGATGTCTTTTCATTTGGAAATTCATTTCTGGGAAAGTTTGAAAGTTGGCTTTTTGGAAAATTACTTTTTTTTTTTTTTTGCTACACAAAGGTCATTCCTAAATGTCAAACATCATTTGGTAGTTGTTTCTGTTTTTTTTTTTAATGTCTGGAAGGATATCTTTTGAGACTTGTTTTTGAGGTCAATCTAGTGTTTAAGGGAAGTGGAAAATTCTGATCTGTGAAACTACTGGGTTTGAGAAAAACATAGAGCACTGTTACACAGAAAAATAAAGTATTTGTATGATTCAGTTGTGACCTTTTTGAATGATTAACAGATTGCAAGCCTGGTAAAAGAGTTCAGTTCTTTCTCAGCCATTTACTAAGAATAATTGAGTACTGTTGTGAGAATTTTATTCTTTTATTAAGCTTGGATTCAGAAAACCTTTAGGGTCTATAGAGGACACCAAAATTAATGCCTTTCAGTCTCAGTAATTTGTGGAATGAATATATAAATTACTGATTTTTTTTTCTGTGCCTCTTCCAGAATGAATCTACTGTGGCCTAATATTAACACTTATTAATGCTTCATTAATAATGTATATTCATCTTCTTTTTTTATTATTTTATTTTATTTTATTTTATTTTATTGTTATTATACTTTAAGTTTTAGGGTACATGTGCACAATGTGCAGGTTAGTTACATATGTATACATGTGCCATGCTGGTGTGCTGCACTCATTAACTCATCATTTAGCATTAGGTATATCTCCTAATGCTATCCCTCCCCGCTCCCTCCACCCCACAACAGTCCCCAGAGTGTGATGCTCCCCTTCCTGTGTCCATGTGTTCCCATTGTTCAATTCCCACCTATGAGTGAGAACATGTGGTGTTTGGTGTTTTGTCCTTGCGATAGTTTACTGAGAATGATGATTTCCAATTTCATCCATGTCCCTACAAAGGACATGAACTCATCATTTTTTATGGCTGCATAGTATTCCATGTTGTATATGTGCCACATTTGCTTAATCCAGTGCCTCACTCGGGAAACACAAGGGGTCAGGGAGTTCCCTTTCCTAGTCAAAGAAAGGGGTGACAGACGGCACCTGGAAAATCAGGTCACTCCCACCCTAATACTGCGCTTTTCCGATGGGCTTAAAAAACGGCGCACCAGGAGATTATATCCTCCACCTGGCTCGGAGGGTCCTACGCCCATGGAATCTCACTGATTGCTAGCACAGCAGTCTAAGATCAAACTGCAAGGCGGCAGCGAGGCTGGGGGAGGGGCACCTGCCATTGCCCAGGCTTGCTTAGGTAAATAAAGCAGCCAGGAAGCTCCAACAGCTCAAGGAGGCCTGCCTGCCTCTGTAGGCTCCACCTCTGGGGGCAGGGCACTGACAAACAAAAAGACAGCAGTAACCTCAGCAGACTTAAATGTCCCTGTCTGACAGCTCTGAAGAGAGCAGTGGTTTTCCAAGCACAGATGGATATCTGAGAATGGGCAGACTGCCTCCTCAAGTGGGTCCCTGACCCCTGACCCCCGAGCAGCCTAACTGGGAGGCACCCCCCAGTAAGGGCAGACTGACACCTCACACGGCCGGGTACTCCTCTGAGACAAAACTTCCAGAGGAACGATAAGACAGCAACATTCGTGGTTCACGAAAATCCGCTGTTCTGCAGCCACCGCTGCTGATACAGGCAGACAGGGTCTGGAGTGGACCTCTAGCAAACTCCAACAGACCTGCAGCTGAGGGTCCTGTCTGTTAGAAGGAAAACTAACAAACAGAAAGGACATCCACACCAAAAACCCATCTGTACATCACCATCATCAAAGACCAAAAGTAGATAAAACCACAAAGATGGGGAAAAAACAGAGCAGAAAACCTGGAAACTCTAAAAATCAGAGTGCCTCTCCTCCTCCAAAGGAACACAGTTCCTCACCAGCAACGGAACAAAGCTGGACGGAAAATGACTTTGACGAGTTGAGAGAAGAAGGCTTCAGACGATCAAACTACTCCGAACTACAGGAGGAAATTCAAATCAAAGGCAAAGAAGTTAAAAACTTTGAAAAAAAATTAGGTGAATGTATAACTAGAATAACCAATACAGAGAAGTGCTTAAAGGAGCTGATGGAGCTGAAAGCCAAGGCTCAAGAACTACGTGAAGAATGCAGAAGCCTCAGGAGCCGATGCGATCAACTGGAAGAAAGGGTATCAGTGATGGAAGATGAAATGAAGGAAATGAAGCGAGAAGGGAAGTTTAGAGAAAAAAGAATAAAAAGAAACGAACAAAGCCTCCAAGAAATATGGGACTATGTGAAAAGACCAAATCTACGTCTGATTGGTGTACCTGAAAGTGATGTGGAGAATGGAACCAAGTTGGAAAACACTCTGCAGGATATTATCCAGGAGAACTTCCCCAATCTAGCAAGGCAGGCCAACATTCAGATTCAGGAAATACAGAGAATGCCACAAAGATACTCCTCGAGAAGAGCAACTCCAAGACACATAATTGTCAGATTCACCAAAGTTGAAATGAAGGAAAAAATGTTAAGGGCAGCCAGAGAGAAAGGTCGGGTTACCCACAAAGGGAAGCCCATCAGACTAACAGCGGATCTCTCGGCAGAAACTCTACAAGCCAGAAGAGTGTGGAGGCCAATATTCAACATTCTTAAAGAAAAGAATTTTCAACCCAGAATTTCATATCCAGCCAAACTAAGCTTCGTACGTGAAGGAGAAATAAAATACTTTACAGACAAGCAAATGCTGAGAGATTTTGTCACCACCAGGCCTGCCCTAAAGGAGCTCCTGAAGGAAGCACTAAACATGGAAAGGAACAACCAGTACCAGCCACTGCAAAATCATGCCAAATTGTAAAGACCATCGAGGCTAGGAAGAAACTGCATGAACTAACAAGCAAAATAACCAGCTAACATCATAATGACAGGATCAAATTCATCTTATTTATGTTCCATAAAAGAAATTTTGGTAGAGGCAAAATTTCAAAGGTATGTGGTTGTTAAGGGTGAAAATGTTAGAGAGGAAGCAGTATGATACCTTACTCATCATTAAAGTGATTCTACCTCATGTTAATGACTCCATAGGATTACATTCTTTTTAAATGTATCTTAATATCAATTCACATTGTGAGGCACTTAATCTAGCATATTTTGCTTCCCATAGAGTATCAAATAAAATCTACAAAACAGTTGAAAGGAACTGACAGCTAAGATTATAAAAACCCAGAGCATATATTTGCCTGATTCTCTGTTAATCATATTTGAGCCTTGCTACCATAATTAACACCATGAAGAGATGTCTGCAAATTTAGAAAAGTAAAGGATACAAAGGACATAAAATTAGTTATAATTTGAAAGAAATCTTAGTGGTCTTATTAACTATATGTCCTTATACTTGAGAGCATGACTTGGCCATCAATTTGACGCAATTTTTTTTGAGTCCCAGATCCAGCACATATTAGCTACGTAATGATGGACAAGTAACATAACCTCTTGAAACCTCATCAGCTTCATAAGTAAAATGAGAATAATAATAGGACCTAACTCATCCAGTTAGGCACTTAAATAAAGTGCCTATTTCATTGGAAAGAATTCCAGCCACATGGCAGGATGGGCTGATATTAATAGACCCAGAGCTGTTAAAAATTCATTAAAATGTTGGATAAAATGTAATGACAGAAAAAATGAGCCAAGCCCAAAAGAAAGGGAAATGTATAGGTGTTCATAAAATACAACAGGAACAATAAAAGACAAAATATTAAGGGTACGCTGGATGATCTTAATTATTTTAGACAGCTATATGCTCTAAATGGCTAAGAATTGGGATCTAAGTGTTGTTGCGTAGACAGGAGAGTGTCCTCGGCCTTTGTAGTTTTGGAGAACTAAAAGCAATCCAACTATAGAAAGTCTGAGGCTTCAGAAAGCTGCCCCATCTATCAGCAGAGATCTAGTAAAACTACTCAGTGGCCTGGGAAACAGTGAGAAGAAAGCTTGCCTTCTGTCTGGAGCTTTGAGTGGGAGGGGAAAAAAAAAACTACCCAAGAAAAAAAACAAACACTGGCACATACCGCACAGGTGTATGGTGTGAATTTATGCTGTCATGATTCAGTAACCTAAAACCAAAGAATTTACTGCTATGGAAGTTGTGGAAGGACTTTTACAGTCAGGCATTATATGAGTTTCACAGGGGAAAAGTACTGGGCAAAATGAACACTCAATAGAAATAAAATTAAATAAAAAATATAAAGAAAAATAAATTAAAGAAGGAAACAGAAAAATATGCAGAAGAAGCAGCAGATGCAACACAAGGAGCAAACCAAGAACTAGGAAAAAACCACCTTAAATAAACTGTGAAGGAGATATGTTTAAAGTTACTTTCCTAAGGAGTTGAAATCATTTTAAAACTATGAATAAGAAAGAATGAATAAGTAAAAATAGAATAAACATGAGCAGATTAAGAAAAACAGGACTACTAAAAATTAAACATACAATTACTAAAATTAAAAATTCTGTAGATGGGATAAACACTAATGTAAAAGGAAATGTTTGTGAATTGGAAGATATATCTGAGGAAATCACCTAGAATAAAGTGAGTAAAGTTAATATTATGAGATTGTTCAATGAAAATAATCTTTCTCCTTCCCCTCTCTCTCCTCTCTCTTTCTTTTCTCTCACCCTTCCAAAGTACTTTTCAGTTGCTTACCAGGCAAAAGATACAGTAATGGACAGTTAATATTCCTACTCCTGTGAAGCTCACAGTTCAGTGGTTTGGTGGATACAGCAATTTATTAAAACAAATGAACAAAAACCAAACAAAACACAGGTTGATGAGTTCTTTGCAAATAATTAAAATTTGGTCTTACGAAATCACTGTATAAGTACTTTGTATTTGATAGTCGGGAAGGGTCTCTTGAAAGGGGTGAAATTTTAGGTTAGATAAGAATGACAAGACAATCTGTCAAGCACAATTAGTTTTTCAGTTGAAAAAAATCAATTCGTGCAGAGGAGAAATGAGCTATGCATGTTGCAGAAACGAAAAGGAGGCCAGTATGGTTAGAGCATGGTATGAAAGATGCAAGATGGTCTTGAAGGTGTAGGCTGGGGCAGATTCTACTGGGCTTTTTCATACGAGACAGGGTAAAGAGTTTGGATTCTATTCTAAATACTGAGAAGTCATAAAAGGACTTTATATATGTTTTACCTTGTAAAGGATCTGTCCCTGTGCTATGTGGAGAATTCTCAGCAGCAGAAATGCTGGGGGTTGGGCGGTGGTATGATGTGAGCAGTTAGGAGACCATTACATTGGTCCAAGTGATAGAGGCTACTGGGATTTGGACTGGAGTGGTAGAGGCATCAGCTCTACCACTGATTTTACAGATTTGGAAAAGCTTTGGATAGGGATATGATGGGAATTTAAAATTGACAGGACATGGAGTTGGGAGAAAGATAAGAATCACAGTCAATTCCAGGAATCATAGATAAATCCATGTAAGAATTATGTCTACAATATTCATTAGTCACACAGCCACCATTTAAGCACTTCCAGTGATCAAAGGCTTGGTAGGTACCTCGTGTGGCCACTCATTCCTTTTCATGCATCCCAAATCATTAGAAAGTTCTTCCTATGGATTTGACCTACTTTTCCTTATAAACAATATAGTTGCCTAAACAATATAGTTGATTTATTTGTAATCTTTCTTCTACATGATAAGTTTCTAAATATTTGAAGATAATTACTATTTTTTTTCCTGAAGTTTTCTTGTTTCAAGTTAAAAAATCTCAGTTCCTGATTTCTGTTAGAATCTATGTGTATGTAGCTTAGGGTACTAATAACTCAATATTGAAGTTTGATTGTTTGGATTTGTCCTAGTTTTCTTACTGGATTTTATTCTCTAAAGTGCCTTATCCATTGGGCACTCAAAAATTATTTCCAAAATAAAAATTAAACTAATCTCTTTTTTTGAAACAATCTTCACTCTCCTTCTCACCTTTTTAATGTTCTGAGCACCTTTCTTTGCACACATTTTACTTTATCAATATGCCTCTTAAAAAATAAAGACCACTACTAATTGATATGCAATTCAAAAGTTCTGAATTCCATGCTTCAAAAATGCAATCAAAAATTAAATTTAGGTTTGGTATAGCTATCTTACAATGTTGACTCATTAAACTTTGGTTATCAAATAACCAATGCAATCATTTTAATATAACTTATTTTAAGTCAATTGTATCCCCACTAGGAGGATATACTCTTATACAATTTTCTGCCAAAGAAATAATAATCTACAGAATATACAGATTCATAGAGGGATTTTAATTACTGGAAAAATGTCAGGTAAAACATTTTTTTAAGAAACTAAAACACAATGGAAAACATTTTTCCTTCAGAGAAGCAAAATTGTAATGACTTCTACTTACTTCTTGATGAAAAAGTTCATTATAATTGGATAATTAGTGCTAATGTCTCCTGTAAAGGTTGGGATGTTGGGGGAAGAAAAACCTGTTAAGATGGAATAGGGAATAATTTGACATGTAAGAGATGCCGTCCCTAACCCCCTTGCCCATCCTTGGCCACTTGGTCACCAGCCTTGTAGAAGCACAGTCATATGATGATGAGCAAACTATTCTGGACTCCTTGCTAGATCATGTTAGTGTTCTCATATTGTTCTGAAAATACAAAATCACTGGAAGGACCATGTTTAATGGATATTACTAATATGCAATACCCAGATACAAGTAAAAGAATGTGAATTTATAACCCTAGCATTGTCATCAAGGTGCTCCCAAATTCTCTAGCCTTCCAAGAACTTATCTTTAATTTAGTATAAATTTTTAAACACACACTTGGCTTACCTTTAACATAATTTAGAGCTAGAAATTCAACATCCTCTTAATATTTCTAAAGATTCTTTGAGGCAGGGGTTGCATACATTTCTGCCTGTCCACTCATCCACTTATTTCATCCGTATTATCAATAACTGCTTTGCATTTTCCTTCTGGGGCTATTTTCTTTATTCTGTCTCCCTTTTCAACCTCAACATGAAACCAAGCTTTTTTTTCTTTAATCCCTTCCTTTTAAGTATCTCTAATGCAGGTTAAGTAGGCATTTAATAAAAGTTGGATGGAGTAGAGAGGGATTATATTTTACCGCAGCGTAGTATTTATTTCTATCTAAATATCACTATTATTAATAATTTATTTTTCAATTCCTTCCACAATGAATTTTTCAGTTTTTTTCCTCTGGTCTCATTTTCCCACCATTTTTCTGGACATGTCTTTTTTTATTCCTCTCCCAAGACTTCTTAGCCTCACTCTCCTTCTCTATTGTCCACAGTGAGCCTCACCTTCTCTCTCTGGAAGCCTCAGTAAACTTTAATTATTACTCTGCAATTATGTAAAGTATATGTCTATTCTATAGCCAGTAACTTTTCAAGCCGGCGTCCTATCTTTATATAACCAAATGGGTTCAGCACAATATTTTGATAAGCCTAAAACAGCTTTCTGCAGTATTTCTGCTCAAATTATTTTTAATTTTATATTTATTTATTCATCAAATATTTATTTTGGGCACTGTGTGTTTGTTAAAAAGAAATGCGAAATGTACAGCAAGGAGTAGGGTCTCCTAAGGGAAATGATTATTTCTTTTAATAAATGCTGTTAGCAAAATATTTATGAGGCACTTAGTGTAGGTGGCCTGCAAAATGTATATTGGCCGATGAGAGTGAGAGGGTGACAGTTATTTGCCTAAAAGCCATACCTGATCCTGTAGGAATGAGTGAGATTTCTGGGGAAGAGAATGTTGAGGCAGAACCTAAGGGAAAAACTCACATTTAGAGGATGAAGAGTCACTAAGGCAATGAAAGAGACAGAAAAGCAGAAAAAAGGAGGAAGAAAATTAAAATCCTGTCAGCCTTGAAAGCCAAGGAAGGTGAGCATTTCAAGAACGGTTGTGGGATGGGGAGGGCGGGATAATGTCAAATCCTGAAAGAATCATGATGAACGTGACAGTTCTTAAAAGGCAATTGACTTTCAAGAGAGCAGTTTCATTCAAGGCAGGAGGTTTGAAGTCAGATTATCTGACATTATTGGGTGAGTGGGAAGAGAGGAATTAGAGGATACTCTTTTGAGAGGTTTCTGTAACAAGAAAGTATTGTTCAGAGAATGAAATGGGAAATTATATATTTTGCAGTTACCCTTTATTAATCAAGAATCAGGGGCTCAATTATCATAGAGAAAATTATTGGAATGTGAGGGGGTTGAGATGGAAGCAGAGTACAGCTGGCGGTAACTCAGAGCATCCAAAACAAACGTGGAAGAAAATAAATTAGAAAGTTAGCTAAGGAGGAAAACATTCAATGTGCTCTGCTAGATAGCTGGTCCTTGTACTGAAGGGGAACACAGAGTACCAAGTAAACGAAATGAAAAACACGAATATCTAGACACACTGATAAAATTTCAAAGCTCCAAAGATAAAAAGTCCTAAAAAGCGGGGGCCAGGTGCGGTGGCTCACGCCTGTAATCCTATCACTTTGGGAGGCCGAGGCAGGTGGATCACCTGAGGTCAGGAGTTCCACACCATCCTGGCTAACATGGTGAAACCCCATTTCTACTAAAAATACAAAAAATTAGCCGGGCGTGGTGGTGGGCTCTGTGGTCCCAGCTACTCCGGAGGCTGAGGCAGGAGAATGACGTGAACCCGGGAGGCGGAGCTTGCAGTGAGCCGAGATCCGCCATTGCACTCCAGCCTCGGCGACAGAGACTCTGTATCAAAAAAAAAAAAAAAAAAAAAAAAAGTCCTAAAAATCTTCCAGGTATAGAAGTCGTTCTCTTATAAGAAGACTCGTGGGCAACACTGGATACTACGAGTGAGTAGAGAAGTATCTTCAAAGTTTAATGAGAAAAAAAACTTAACCCTAAATTTCTAAGGCTTGCCAGACTAACGTTCAAGCGTGTCAGGGTGAGGTAAATCAACTTTGGCCCATTCTCTGTGAAAGAATATATTGAACAAAATGATAAATGAATCCAAAAAAGAAGACAAATGAAGAAACTAAAAAAAAATCTAATAGTTAAATCTAAATTATTAAAGCACAATGTACAAATGTAATGGTTTGGTAATACATGACAAATGGATGTAAAGGAAGAAAGGGAAGTGATAGCAGACCCAAATTATTGTCTTGGTTGGAAAAGCCTATAGATGCTGATTAATTAAAGAGATTGACAGATTTTTAAAAATACGCTTTATGTATATGTAAAAAATTAGGGTATAACACTTTTAAATAATTAAATTAGGATATCTCGAGAAAAAAGTAGCAATGGCAATTCCTATCAATCCAAAAAAAATTAGGAAAAGGCAAAAAATAAACAGCAAGAAAACATGGTAAAGACAAACTCTAAAATAAGACAGAAGAGAAATGTTCAACATCGTAATAAATATAATAAATGTGAGTGGGTTTAATTCCCTATTAAAAGGAAGAGGGTCAGATGGGATTTTTAAAATCCGACTATATATGTTATGTAAAAGATACATGCTTGAAGCAAAATGACACTAAGGGGCTGAAAATAAAATACAGAAAAAGATGTAGCAGACAAGTGTATCAACAAGGCAGGAATAATAATATCAGACAAAATTGGAGTAACATGAAAAGCACAAATCAGAATGAAGAGAGATGTTGTATGTTGATAGAAATCAAATAGATTCAGATGAAGAAGAGTTAACGTCTGCCCTGCCAACACTACGTGTACTGAAATATGTCAGGATTAAACACTAAACACTTCGGTGGGGGGTGTGGAATGTGGCAATATCTAACAAAATTTAAATTGTGATTCCTCACAGCAAAACCACTTTAGGAGACCCTCTTCAAGTAGAAAAATCTTTGAAGACAACATATATGTCTAGCAATAGGGAAATATAAGGGAATGATGTAGTTCAAGTACATTTATATCTTCTTGGGCAGTTTTAAAAAATAAAAATAATAAAATATATAATATAAGAATAGAAGGATAGACTGATAAAGGACAGATATTATCTTCTGAGGTATAGAGAGACTAGATTGGTTCATAACAAAAAAAAATCTATTAAAATTAAAAAGAGAGAAAACTGTAAGCATAATACAAAGACCAGTAAGACCGCAATATCGTTTGTGTCGTAGTGACGTGGCTTTTGTGTCCACAGTTTTAATTTAAATGGTGCTTTAAAACAAATTTTGTGGAATAATAAAATGGATGAGATACGCACTTGGTTTTATATGAAGTACTCTATGAATGAAAAACTAAATTAAAAGTTAGTTATAAGAGAAATGTATATATAACTACTGCTAACCTTCCTAAAGCACTGGCTTGTTAATTTAATTTTCATTCAATATTTCATAAGCCTTTTATATCAGACTAGGGATAACAATAATGTTTTTCTATGAAAAACAAGATTTTTGTCTGCTATGTTCACAGCTACATCTCCAGTGCTGAGAATCCTGTGTGGAATGTAATGGGTGCTCATTTAATGTTTGTTGAATGAGTGAAATGTATTCATTCCCAAATGCCTTTGATAAAATTCCCCCTTATAAAAAAATTTCTGTCTCATGTGGATGCCAGCTACAGCATAGATGTACTTTTTAAAATAAGTATTAGGCAATCTGAGATTTCACATGCAAGGTAAACCTTGATTTAATGCTTAGATGTGGATCGAAATAACTTCAACCTTGAATGATTTGAGAAAATGTCTTGAGGAAACGAAACAACTCTTATGTTACTCAGACTCGTGCATGTGCACACATTCGTGTACAGACCTGTTCATCGAGCTTGACCAGGTCTTCTACAACTCTTGGTCTGCTGGGAGATAGCCTATATGTTCATGAATCAACTTTCAATCTGAGAAAAAAATGTAATTTTAGAGTATAAGGAGACCTTAGAGATCATGTTCCCGGTATCTCCTTTTGCAGGAGGAGGAAACAGGTGCAGGGAATTTAAGGCGTGATGCCCTGAAGTATGAGCTGCATCTCCTGATTGCTTATTTATTTTTCCACCCCTCCACGTTGAGCCTTAACCTTCATCCCAGTTAAAATGGTCTTAACTATCTTTAGTATGTAAAGCACAGCTTTGAAAATGCTAATTATTTGTAGATCTCTCTATAGAATACCACTTGTCCCTTAGTATAATAACGACTGATGAAAACAAGCTCAAAGATTAGTTAATTGATTAAAGGAATTTTTACGTAGTAGAAAAATACTGAAAATATTTTCCATGATCTTAGTTCATTTCTGAAAAATAAGCTAAAAGGTTAAGGGAATAGTTAAGATGGAATTAGAGTTATTTTAGAAATTATAAACGCTATATACATGTCTTAGTAGAATCATTCTTATTAAGAAAGTCAGGTTTGATACTTTTCATTAAATGTGTATAAAAGATACTATTTTAAGTTAAAACTTTTTGTAATAAACTAAAATATAGTGGTAGATAAATGGTAAAACATGACCAGAACTACTTTGGTATTTCTAGATTCTCTTTTAATAAAGCATTTTTATATCAATATAATAGGTAAAGTAAAAATATGTAAAAGACAGAAGAAACCCTTCTCCCTTACCTCCACGTACAAAAAGTAAGCCTTGAGATCTTTCAACTCAATTGATTGTAATTCAAGTACAATAAAGATGTACCAGAATTACCTAAATACCAGTGTTTTATGAAAAAAGAAGACATTTCATACTCCACTTATATTTTTTTGGTCAAGCAACCATTAATCAAATCTTTAACCTTCAATTGTAGGGTAGCATTTATTTTGTGCTAATAATATATTAATAATGTACCAATAGTAGTACTATAAAATAATGTACAAATTATTTTATGGAATATTTTAAGTTATTTCAGTAAATATGTATACAGTGATATTGCTTTAAGTTAAATTATTCTACACTGCACTGTTATAATAAATGATAATGAGCTTTGGTGAATTTAAAAGTACAATACTGGACTTTTAAGAGAATTGTCCATCCTTTTGGTAGCCCCTATTAAAATCTTCTCTGAAGACAGAGTGTGCATGTCAGAAAGTTTGGCAGAAAAGCAACCAAGCCATGTTCTAGTTTGGAAAATATAGAAATAACCATCCAGGGACAATTCAGTTTACTTTCTTATATTTCTGACTTTCTAAGATCTTGTCAAGAAACACATTAGCAACAAGGTTATTACAATTGTATGCTGTAAGAGTTTTAGTCTGCTGTAAAGGTGTTAACAATTATAGTAAATCATCTTATTTTGCCACTGGTATGCTAATGTGCTAAATTAAGGTCTGAAACAAATCGACAACAAAAAATATCCAACTGCTAGTACTACTGAAAGTAGAATTGTATTTGTCGTTTATGTGCTTCTCATCACCAACAAATAAAACATATTTTTAAGCAAACTATTACTGCTGATTTATAAGAATTCAGTAGTTGTCTCAGAAAGAGATATTAACATTCAATTGCATAATGGATAAGAAATAACAAATAATTCCTGCCTGATTACACACATTGATGAATTCTTGCATGGAAGAGTGTGTCCAGCTTACTAACATTTCCTGGATGGCAAACAGAATAAATATAAAAATAATGATTTAAGGGTTTATCCTCTGAATTTCCTGGAAACATTCTCATAAAATATTTCATTACATAATCTTCAAACAAATGTTTGAGGAGTTCCAAAAGAAAATCTATTATATGTAATTATTTCATCATTTTTACTTGGAGTAATGTTAAATAAATACAGCATTATTGTCTAAATATACCGAATATATTTGGTAATCACTTCTACAAAATGTTATAAGTAACATAATGTAACAACATTGAAAACTCTTGAACATTTTTAACTTTTCTATAAACATATTAGCAGTGTGCCCTTTGACTATTTCATGTTTTATCCATTTTTAGAAGTGCCCTAAAATTACTCATTTGCTTAACAGAGTTACGCCCAGCTACCCAACGAAATCATTTCTGTCGAAGTATTTCGGAAAGCAAGTTTCATTTTGTTACTGTAAGAAATAGCATTTTGGGCCCTGTAGCCACATATCTAGCTTTGGGAATGGAACCAAGAAATAATAAGAAAGAGCATCAGTTAATCTCTTAAATGTTAATGATATATTTATCAGATTTCTACTATTTTTAATATTGATTAATCTTATTTTATGTAAATATATCCCAATATTTATTAATTTATTATATAACTGTCATTATTGAATTTTGTAGAAGTTTTCTTCCCTCATCTATTGTGTTTTTTATGGTTCTATGGGGAAATGAAATTAGTATATTTATAATCAGTAGTAAAATATCCGTTTAAAAATTGTATTCAGTTCATGCTAACTGTAGAAATGTTTTTGATTATATAAACTCCAGTCTTTTCTCCTATCCTCTCTATCTTTTCACAGAACACTTGGCTATATAGGTACTAAAAAATATCAAATGAGAGAATACAATTTTTAAATCTGATAACATTTTTAAACACTATTAAAATCAAGGCAAACTCTTACAAATTAGAAAGATACCAAAATCCTGACAATCTGGGCTGCTCTTCACTATCAAAATATCTCCCAACTACAGTATGCAGGAAATATTTTCATGCAAAGTCACTGTGCCACTTCTGTTTCTAAATGACCAAATTTAATAATTTATATTCCTGCCTAAATATGAGCCTATAAGGCATTAAATCTAATAACATTTTTCAGAAAATATATGGGTGCTTCTCAACAGAATTTACTTGCCTACCATACCTTAAGCCAGTCAGATGATGGAATCTTTCACCTGTCAGCAAATCATATTTTAATATTCTTTCTTGTTAGGTTGTGATAAATGAGATACCACTTCTAATGTAAGATTGTATGGCTTGAAAGATTTAATTGTATTTCTCTTTGGCGACATATTAAAAGATTATTTTTATTTTCTCTTTGGAGACAAATTAGCAAGTCATTGTAGTTGAGGGCATTCCAGTATTTAGGAAATTTATATAAAAAATGAGTCTCAAATGTAGCTCAATAATATTTTGATTATAATAGTTTTATATATTTCAAAGGATCAGGCCATGTATAATGGATTTCCTTGAACTATGAGCTTTAGAATATCAGAAGCCATTTCTGATTCATCTTTATAACTTTGGTTCCTAAGACACTAATTAATAAATGTTTATTTAAAAAATAAAGCTTTGTTTCAGGACAGTGACACTTAATTTTCAAATGAAGCAGTATTTCAATTATTTTAATAATAACCTGAATATTTATGGATAATAACCTTATTGACAGCAGGAATTTTGACCATCATAATCATACATAACTAATTTTCAAGTACTTCACAGATAATTTTGTTTTTCTCCCCATTGAACTAAGCAAGTTAAAGAAATGGTTCTCGACATCTAGAAACTTGCACTTTGGAGAAACAATTCCTAATGCAAAATTTGTTTGTTTGATAAATAAATATTGAACTTCAGTTATGTCCAAAGCAGGAGGTGATTTTAAAATTCATAAGTAAAACTTCCTTTTCCTTAGAAGTTTTTAATCTGCTAGGAAGAGTAAGACAATCTAATAATTATAATGAAAGTCCATTTTTAATTCAAAGCCAAGAAAAATGGAAGTTAAGGAAGGCAGAGGTTGTTTATGTTTAGTTAATGAGGAGACAGTTCATGGAGGTGGTGCCATTTGAATTAGGCTTGGTGAGAGATTTACTTGCAGGCATCACTAGAAAAGCAGGTGTTTTAAGTTTAGGAAAATGTAAGAAACGGTGCAGTGGTTTTACGAATCCCATAGCAACAAGTAGTCCACTTTGGCCACACAATGTAAGTAGGACGTAACTCAAAAAGTTTATTGAGAAGCAATAATGGCCTAGGTGAGGATGACTTCAGTGGACACGTAAACAAAAGATAACTAACAATGTGAAGTAGTATTTCCATTGCTAGATAGATTACAGTAATGACTCTTATCTCCTCATCTATCGATGTGCTTGTCTGTATGTTTAAAAATACACATGGTAAAATAAGAAACGGATATGTGTTTGTGTTTTAACTTTTTAATGAATTCGATTTCACATTATTATGACCTTTAATTTCCAGACAAAAACTTTATAACTGATAATTGACTATCAAAAGTCAAATTTTAAGTCTATTTGTTTTTTAATGATCTACTTACATATTCCTGGATGGGGGAAGAAATGACATAAAATTGTACTGAAGGAAATTATTTTTAAAATTTTTCTTTCATGTAACTTTGATTGTATCTGACTTCCAGAGCCTATTGCTTTTTAGCAAGAAGCACAGTGAAAGATTGAGAAAATGTGCCTAAACATGGCAGTCATCTCTAATCATTTGGGTTTTATACATGAACATAGTTATTTACCCACCACTTCATTGATAACATCAACATAAAGATATAGGAAATAACCCTGTATATTCATAAACCATGTACCATGTGTACATACATAATGTTATGCTATACATTATTTCATTTGATTTCATAACTTGCTTTCCATTGCTTTCACCAAAGCAGATCATCTTTTTATTTGGTTATGTTCTTTTTCTCGTGTAACTAATGTAATATATTATCTTTGCCAACTAAGAATCATTTGAATATGAATCAACCACCCATGAAGAATTTATATTATTCAGAAAGCCTACTATGCTAAAAGTTTACCTCAACCCACATTCACCACATAAAATAATAGCAAAAATAATTGGTTTTTCCTAAGTTTGGATGATCCAATTGGCCTAAATTTTTATTAAAAGTGAAGAAGATAATGCCATCTTGAAAGACAGCACAAATGTTTTTAAAATACCCCATTGCAAGGTATGGAGAGAACCATAACATTATCTGTTAAATCTTACTGTTAATAGCAACTCTAAAACAAAGAAGATTTTTATTTTGAAACATGGGACGTAAACTTTGGCAGAAGAAACACACTTGGTTAGGTAATAGTTTATATATTTCAATTACAAATTTGAATTAAGTCTAGAACAATGGATGTGGAATATTCAAAAAAATACCACCATAGTGTTGTTTTCCCATCTGAAAAAAAAGAATGAATTTTTAATATCTTCTCTCTTATGAGGAATTTAGTTACATCAGGACCTCATATTAATTCTTATTTTTTCAAAATAATTTTTCAGATACATTATATTGTTGTACAACAATAATCAACAATTCCAATTCAAACTTCTGATTATGTAATAAGTTTGTAATCAAGTTCATAAACTATTGAAGAATTTCTTATCGCAAATATTGTGACATGATAAACTATCAGCACTAGTATTCATATAACATTGATTATTGATAAGTGGAAATAACTACGGTGTAGGATATTGAAATTTAATTTCTAGGATATTGAAATTTAATTTGCATTACACATATTTTAAGAGATGTAAATCACATTCCAACTAACAATATAAAATGATTTACTTAAATTCGTTCTATTCTTTAAAAAAATGAACACTTCAACTTGTTTTAAACTTAAGAAAGTGTTAAAAATTGAATGTGACACTTTTAAAATCATCCCAAGGCTGGCCATGGTGGCTCCTACCTGCAATCCCAACAATTTGGGAAGCAGAGGTGGGAGGATCCCTTGAGGCCAGGAGTTTGAGATCAGTCTGGGAAAGATAGTGAGACCTGCTCCAACAACAACAACAAAAACTAAAATTAGCTAGGCATGGTGGATGGTGCTTGTTGTCTTAGCTACTTGGGAGGCTGAGGCAAGGGAGAGGATCACTTGAGCCCAGGCGTTCAAGTTTACAGTGAGCTATGATTGCACCACTGCACTTCAGCCTGGGTGACAGACCAAGACCCACGGACATACTCAGACCTTCTAAATTTCAAGTTCATAGTCTCTATTAAAAATAAACCATTTTCCTTAGAAGAGAGATTTCAGCCTATTATCATGCTGCCACTGAGTTGAAGAATTACCTTCTACCAGAACAGGTTATACAGTTATTTACTACATAATTAATTTGTAGGCATGAAATAATCTTTTCAGCATTCTTTGCCTGCTCAGTGCCAAAATTACCTTAGTGTGAGCATCAGAGCCCCCAGATGACTTATGTAAACCTGTACTCTGACATAAATGCTGAAAACAATAGACATACCCGCAACTTAAAATACAAATTCAAGAGGAAATAAGGTGAAGCATACTGTTGATAAAAAATTACTACTAAATTCCGGTGCTATTTCATATCCAGAAACATTCTAATTGCATATAATATTTGAAAATATTGGATAGTCAGTCTAGATATAAAATTCCTAAATTGTTCATTTTCAAAATTGTTAAATGAGTGATTAGATACTTCTTATGGCCTGGCAAAACATGGTTTAGACACCACATACAGCACACATAACTGAATGGAATGAAAGGATGTTGGCGGTAATGGAAAATAGTGATGGATTTTACAAGGTCAAACCCACTGACATTTTGTTATTGATAAGCAGAATCAGCTACAGTGTAGGATATTGCCGAATTCTAAGCAAATGAATTTTTAAAATATATTACATAGAAGCTATTCTTTTACATTTTCTGCCTTGGATATTTTCTCACCTGACAAAAACAAACACACATTTAGATTTCTCAGATTTCTCAGAGGATGTTCTTTTGAGTAGATTATCTGTAAAAAATTTCTGACACATCAGTCAGGTGTCATGGTTTAATTTTTATGTGAGGATTTGGTAGGACAGATGAAAATGTGTGCTAGTCTTTTCTCCTTCCATACAAGAATTGGTAGAATTAGTGCTTACAAGATACACAGCTTAATTACACTATCTGCAGTGTCACTGGAACACACTTCACCCAGTCATCTTTGTCATGTTTAAGAGACCTGGACTTAAGGGCCTAGTAGTTTTCTTGATGTAAAAGATAGCAGCACAATTTCTTGCCCCTCAGTATTCCCTTCCCATATCTAAACTCCTATGAGACAGAACCAACAACTATTCCATATATTAGGCTCTGATTTTAGTAAAACCACTTTTCAGTCACAGTTCAATAAGCACAGATCTCTTGCAGAATTCTAAGAATATGAATTTTTAAAAATATGTTATATGGAAGGTATTCTTTTACTCAACTAATTTTTTTCTTTCTTCCATTTGTTCCCGAATTAGTACCAGACATTTTTTTTCTGCCTTTCTTGAAAGTTCTACTATCAAATAATCAAATAACAGAAGGCTAGAAACAATAAATTTTATAAATATAACTTTTAAAAGAGAAAATATTCTCTTACATGTGATTAGAAAAGGGGGGAGGAATTAATTGGGGCAGGGAAGGAAATAATGAGAATGAACAATGCCACTATATTCCATGAGCCTTTGAGAACACCAAGGGCAACCTCATCTTTGGATGAAAAAAAAAAAAAAGGTAGTCTATTAAGTGACTGGGTTTACCTTAGAAAATATAAGTTACAGGACTGAGTAATCTAGTAACAAGAAAACTGCTGACAAACTTCTGGGGGTGATTGTTGTTTAGCAAAGAAGCAGATGCAACTAAGTCAGGATTCTCTCTCTAAAAAAACAACAGTTAACACTGTGGTTGTATTTTTTTCTTATGTGTTACTTCAAAACCTTATCAGAAAAGAGTACAGTATCTCTGTTAAGTTCACTTAAAATCTGTTGTGTCATTTTATTGACTATTACTGTTTTTTGAAATCTTGTTCATGTTTATAGGTTTTCTGACTTGAGTTTAGAGATATTCCAAGCAGATTAGCCTAGCAAGTTTAGAATTGTGAATTTAATAATTATCTTCTAGGTATGTATAGGAACATATTGCATGAGACAGTAATGTAATTTGTGAGAAATGTCTACACACAAGCTTTCATATACCTTTATTCTGTCTTTAGAATTTGGAATGATGGGAGATCATACAATTAAAAGTCAGCGACCTCGATCTGTTCATGAAAAAAGGGTCCCTCAGGAACAAGCTGATGCTGCTAAATTTATGGCACAAACTGGTAATACGTTAGTTACATTTTTCTATTTATTGTTGTTAATTTAATGAAACCACTGCATGTTTTCATAATCTTTTGCTGCACATTTGTCAGTTTTTGGAGCTGATATTTTTTCGAGCCATTTTTTTTGTCACCAGTTAAAGTCCATAAATAAAGTAGCTGTGAATTGAAAAGTGCACAAAAATTATGTAAGAATTATTTTGCTTTCAGTATGGGACATTTAGGATTTACATAGTAGCATTTATGCTAATTAACTACTTAAAATGTATCATTAAACTTTTAAAGAAAGACAGCCAAAGTTATTTCTTCAATAATTGATTGACATAAGACTTTCAAAAATTAGAACTTTAAATGACTCTAGACAATGAAATTTATTTTAACAATATTGAATATATTGAATTTTTTCAAGTATGATCCTACTTGTATTAATTATTGTTAAAATGCACAGAAAATATAAACTTTTAAAAAATTTAATAATTTTTATTTGAAAAGAGTTTTGTTATATAAGCTAAATAATAAAAAGTTGAAAGTGTTAAGTAAGGTGTAACACACTCCATCTAATTAAATACCAACCTAAACTGACTTTCTACTTTATAAAATGTTTAATTCTAAATTAATTAGATTACTTTTAAAAACCTCCCTCCAAATATATCTGTAAATATTTGGAGTATGTATAATTTATGCCCATTATTTAGTTACAGAATTTGAACTAATATATGTATTCATATTTTTTCTTATCACAATAAATGGTCTAATTTCATCTGAGTACATTGCATGTAGTACATCCTTAAAAAGTGTTTCAACTTTGTTATGTAAATTTTCAATTGTCACCTTTATTTTGGGAAATTGAAAGCTAACAGTTTTATCTATGTCTTAAAAAATTGTATACATCTCAATGTTTTGCCATTAATACAGAAGTTTCAAGTACATGACCAGTTTCCTGACATGACATTTAGACTGATAGTGATGAAATTCCCCCAAGAAATGAATATTTCCTTCAGTTCACATGTTCTTAAGATAATAGTTTTTAGAACAGTAGATCTGAATCTACAGTATAAAAATGCAAATATTGTTAATGAGTTTTGCTCTTAATAAGGGGTGAGTAGAAGATTTTGATACATTAGTTGAGTTGTAAGGAGGTCAAATTTTCAGAACAAGAAGTTTAAAATAAATTTTACAAGGATTCACTTTTAGTTTTTTTGAGATATATATTGCAACCAAATACAGAAATGTAGAAACTTGCTTATCTGGATCCCTTTTTGTGCACTTTCTTGTTTAAGAAAAATTGATTTTTATTTTTACTATTTGTTTGAACAAGTCTAAAAGTGCATTATCAGGTTTAGGCAAATTTCCAAATTTCTAAATGTATTTCTCTCCTTTACAGGGAGCAAAAAGTCTCAACCACTGAGCAGAGATTAGAGACATTAAGTCAAGGCACACGGGCATGGGCTGACTACTCATCTTTGTCGGCACCATCTAATGGGGGCATTTCTGCAAGATTAAAAAAGGTGTATTTTATTTGTGCAAAAGAGATGGCAGGCATTGGTTTACTGAAGTTCCTAAAAATTGGAGTCAATAGGAAGTGAAATGGAAAATGATAGTTTTAAATTTCCAATAGCGTAACATGATTAGTTTATGTGTAAATATTATGCAATTTAGCCAAAAGTTTTTGTACAAGTTTTTTTTATTTGTCTGTGACATAGTTCAATTCACAGTTTTCAGCCAAAACCCTTTTGGTAAATTCAAATTTCAAGGAACATTGTGTTTTCCTAGTAAGGAATTACTAATTTCAAAATGATGAATAATAAATATTTATTCTTTTATTTTAACCAAATATAGTATAGACAAACATAAATACATGTATAAGACTTTTAACAGAAGACAATTATAATGTGAAAAAGAGAAGAATATTTTTCCTTAAATATTTTCCTAGATTATACTTTTTTAAGGTGTTAAGGTAGTCTGAATAAATACAGGTAAGTGTCACACAATAAAATTTTACAAAAATTAAGCTTTACTTATAAAAGTGTTCCCTGTATTTGTCTTTAAGCCAGAAAAAAGACTGTAACATATAAATAATATAAAATTTGTTAACAGTAATTTGAGAACAAAGAATAAGGCAAAAACATACATTTAAATAATAATAAAAGACAATATATTTTTATATTAATCATGGAGAAAAAAGCAAAGGCTATCACACTTTAATATTTAAGAATTACTTCTCAAAATGAGTAAACTGGCCTCTTCAATCAATATGATCAGTAAAAGATTGTAATTAAAAGCAATCTTTCTACAGAGTGATAAAGTGAGTGTGACTTTTTTAAAAAGAGTAACATTTGATAAAGTAGCATAGTTTGGATATAAATGATGGTGCTCTAATAGCCTATCATGCAATCTTTATTTATTATTAAGGAATATAAAATTAAATGATATCATATAATATATATATTTAATATAGACATCTAAATTAAATGCCAATAAGATGGCTTAAGATATCCTAGTTACATTTTCTTATGCTTAAGCATCATAGTCATCAATTAATTTATAAACATGTTTAGAAAAGCAGTCTTTCATTACCGTGAGGAAAATAGCCTAAATTTGGACTATGTAGCATTTTATCTAAAATTTTAAAAAATAAAATTAGGCTGGGTGCAGTGGCTCATGCCTGCAATCCTAGCACTTTGTCATTTACAAGGCGGGTGAATTACCTGAGGTGGGAGTTCAAGACCAGCCTGACCATCATGGTGAAACCCCGTCTCTACTAAAAATACGAAAAATTAGCTGGGTGTGGTGGCGCACACCTGTAATCTCAGCTACTCAGGAGGCTGAGGCAGTAGAATCTCTTGAATCAAGGAGGCAGAGGTTGCAGTGAGCCAAGATCACACCATTGCACTTCAGCCTGGACTATAGAGTGAGACTTCGTCTCAATAAGTAAATAAATGAATAAATAAATAAAATTAAAAGTACATTTCTAATTTCATGACTTTAAGATAATAGCAAAAGTTTATATTAATATTTTGTTCATAATTTAAAATGCATTCTCACATATTATCTCACTCAATCTTCACAGATTTTGAAGTAAATATAATATTCATTTTATCGAAGACATTCAAAGAAATAAAATGACTTTCTCAAGGTCACAGAGCTATTATTCAGTAGATTTCCATCAATCACAGGTCTTCTGACTTTAATTGCAATGCTTTTCCAGTTTCCTTTTGTGTTTCATGCTAGACTAAAGAGCTTTTAGTTCATACTATCTCCAAAGATACATATATTAAAAACAGTATACTTTGTCTTATAGTTTACTATTTTAATGTCATTGAATATTTTTAACATCTTTCTTATAATGTATATTAGTTATTCTCACAATGGCCTAATGTGCTTGACTAGAATGTTCTTCATACTTTTATAAATAAGGAAGTGGCAGCAGGGAAAAAAGAAGTATTTAGTGGAAATGTCACTGAAACTATGGGATTTGAGTTATAACAAGAACATTTTGATAGGTAGGCCACTATTTCACTGGCAAAATTTTAATTCAAAATCTGAAAGCCAATGTTTTATTTATTTACTTAGTTTATTTTTGATCAATGAAGAGAGAGGAAGAGTGACAAGACCAATTCTGAGCATTCATTATCAAACTCTCATGATCCAGTCACCACTGCTTAGCCTGTTCAGCATCATTGCAGTATCATACATTCAGAAGCAACCCAAATGTTTAAATACTTGTACGAAAGTAATTTAAATATAGGGCTTGATCTGAATTCACTGCTCAGTTTAGTTAAATTATGTTTTCTGTCATTATGACAGTGCAAGAGGAAAAGGACTGCTTTTATGGTAAAATAGAACTAATTTTATTCATAACCTTTATCATTTCACTTATAGAATCCACATTGTTCATAATTTTCTGACTTTTAATTAATAACATGCAACCATAATATTTATACCTCACTTAATCTCATCATAGTTCAGAACATCATTTTAAAAAGTGTATTATATTTTCCCTAACTTCAGCTTAAATTTTCTATTGCTAAATTTACATGCACATATACACATATATGTGGATTTTTTAACTATTATCCTTCTATTTGGTTTATAGAATAATGATTTTCAATCTTGATAGAGTATTCTTTAATGTAAAAGAACAAATTATGAAGCATGGCTTTAACTGTTATTCAAATAGTCATCCAAGGACATTTTTATGAAATTAGCAATATATAAATTTGTGAAGAAAAAAATTCTGAATTGATGAAGGGTTATCTATACATTATTTTCAAGTCACATTGATCACAACACTGAAAAGCAGTCCCATTTGATGTAATCTGTCATCCCAGTTACTATTGTCTGTGCCCTTACAATATATGTCCAGTTATAAACAGATGGTCATCTATGCCTCTTGGTGCATGATGCAGAACAATATAAGAGCAAATGCGTCATAATGGTACTACTCAAAGTGTGGTTAGTGGATCAGTGTTTGTCCGCAAACTGGCCGTTATGGTCTCTCAAAGGAATAAGCAGTTTACATCAGAATGTAAAACCAACTACTTCATCAAGCACAGGTTTTATTTAAGCTGACATTTCATTTTTAGAACAAATTTCTCACTGAGAAAATCTGTGTGTTGAATTACATTCTGGCCCAAACTCCTTCTTCCCTAGAGCACTAGTTTGTGGACCAGCTGCCTTGAGTAGCACTGCAAATAATTTTCAAGTCATTTACTAACTCTCTAGAAAACGATGGACAAATACATGATCATATTCTATCCTTTGAATTCTATTCCAAAGGCAAATTATAAACAGAAACATAAAATATTGTTAAATTGCTCTTTGATCTACTAATCAGTGATACAAAGTTTTCAGAAACATTTCACCTACAAATTTTTTTTCAATGACTAAATGGTTAACTTAAGTAGTTAACTGCTAGCAGCTAAATGATCCAGTGTGACTTTGGAGAAAACAACTGCAAATTTTCCAATCAATTTTTAAAATTCATCCTGAACATGATGCCATGACAGAAGTGTATTTCGTTGGTCATAGAAATGTTTGACTTTTGAGTCTCCTTGAGACATAATAAAAGAAATTCGACATAGTTTTATTGAGATGCTAACTCCAAGAAAATTAATGAATTTAGACATTCATTAGCTTTTTAGAACTCCATTTTAAATAAATTTTAATTCCATATCAAATTAATGAAAATTATCAAGAAATTTTTCTTTATTTTGAGTTAAAAAATCACTACTCTAGATCATAGGTGAAATTGTTAGCAGAAGGATTTAAATAAATTACCACAAAATAAACAGCTATCATAGTATGAAAAAGTAGGAACTGCACTAGTAATAAACTATAAATATCAGTACTCAATACAATATAAATTAGATGCGTCCAAGCTCCCAGGTTTCCACATCATCTAGCATTAGAAAGGGTGTTATGCAATAAAGGACTAAGGAGGAACACATCAATATATTCCTGCCGCCAAAGCCATAGAGTAAGCTTAGAAATATATTTTGCTTCCTTTTCCATCAAAATACAAAGTCTTAGATTAATTTGAAGAGAATCACCTCAACAAATAGTCACATTGAAAAATGCTCATTAGTTCCTTCATAGTGTCCATGGTACAGTGTAATTTGTGAAGAGTATTTTGCTAATAAGGTTATGGCAAAACTTGGTGTTTGCATCAGCATTATATGCATTCGTCTTTAAACTTCATTTTCTCTGAAATGTTTTCATGTACCTTTTGATGTATGGTCATATTTTTACATTTAAATTATTCTTGCATGTCATAATGTCAGTTTGGTATAATGCTTACTAGATGAATACTTAAGACAGTATTTCATGTTTATTTGTTGTCTTGCACGCAGGTGAATCTGGTGTGGAAGAGTGGTCCCAGTGGAGCACATGTTCGGTTACTTGTGGTCAAGGGTCGCAGGTGCGAACCAGAACTTGTGTATCACCTTACGGGACACACTGCAGCGGCCCATTAAGAGAATCAAGGGTTTGCAATAACACTGCCCTCTGTCCAGGTAGTGTTAGCAGCAACTACAACTGTGGATGTTATTGAATTGTGTCATGCTACGCATTTGGAACGATTTGTTATTTTCATATGAAACGGGTATAGGCATTTTGATTAGAGTGGATAAGTGTAATTATTATTCAACTGTAATATTTTAAGATGTCTGTGATTATTTCTGCTTTTAAAGCAGTCAGCAAATTAGGTAAATGGCTCCTTTCTTCACTGCAAATATCAGTTTCTAATCTGTGTGTATCTACTTCTAATAATATTTAAGGTTCAATTATCTTTCTGTGTTTTAGATGGTGAAAATGTTCAATTGAATGCTTGAGGAAAAATGTAATCTGCCTACATACTAAAAATATAATGTATATTCATGGCTTAAGGCAGTGGTTGACATAGTCTGTCAGGCAGTCAGCAGTTTTTCTATCACTTATCTGACCCTATCAAAGAAAAGAGTGTCCCTGACCAAATAACTTCTTGGTATTTTATTTCATTAAAGTAACTTTCATCATCAGAGGTATCCGCTGCTTTGTAAACTTAAATTAAACTTAATGAAGAGAGAGAGAGAGAGAGAGAGATCTTTAATGTTAAATGAAGCATAACAATAGCATGCCCACTTAGTGTCAGATTTTCCATGTTACATCACAATTTTGTTCTTCAGTTGATGCACGCATGCATATTATAGACATTTCTCCCTCCCAGACTACAGACTTTCATGTAAAAATAAGTAATAATAGGACTCTGGGCTTTGTTTCCAGAAGTTCAAAGCACATGATGTTGTGAATCTCCAGATTTATCTTTTTGTCTAACCATTTATGTGGTGGATGGGTGACTATAAACATATTGACAGCTGCAGTTGACAGTGGACTTGCATTCACAGCCTTTCCAGGGACCTCCAAAAGGGGATGGGTGTAAAGAAAGTGACTTGCACTGCGGCAGCCTTTCATCTGCTAGCTTGTGCTTAGAAGTTTCTCATTAAGTTCCATTTCTAGAGATGGCTGACTCCACAGTTGCTAAAAGCAAGAATAGAGAGTGGGTGGCACGGAGTAAGAACAGGAATAATGTCAGTTTTCCAGCAGAATATGCAAAGGGGTCCATTAAAAGACAGTCTGAGAGAGTTGTTAATGGGTGTAGAGTTTCAGATTTGCAAAATGAAAAAGTCTGAATATCTGTTTCACAACATTATGAATATAGGTAATACTACTAAGCTGTACACTAAAAATTGATTAGATGGTAAATTTTACATTATATGCTTTTTATCACAATAAAAAAGGACAGTGTGGAGGAAATAAAAAGTAAAGAGAGTGGTGGGCAGAAGGTGGAGGAATGATGCAATGAGGTGGGCGATCCCTTTAGAATAGAATTGGGAGGTTAACAAAGCAGTAGATGAAGTAGAATTAAAAGCTAAGCAGGGCAGAAAACTGAAACCTATGAGGAAAGAAAGGCAGAATTAACTGGCAAAGAGTAATAATTGCCACTAAGAACAAGAAAAATCAGTGAGGCTCAGTGGAAATCAAACTAGAGCAAGAAAAAAGCATGAAGTAAAAACAAAAAAAGATTCACAAGAAAAAATGTTTAAGGAGTTTGTGAAAGGGGGAAGATGAAAAATATGATTAAAAACAGAATTCATAGAGCAGACAGATTCTAGGTACATTTGGCAACAGAAGAAAAACAAGTAGAAGTAAGGACCAGGGGATTCTATTTTATTTTATTTTTTAAACTGGCAGGTAACATGTATGTTTTTATCTTGTATAACATGATATTTTGAGGTATATATATATATATATATATATATATATATGTTGTGAAATGGTTAAATCTAACTAATTAACAAATATATTACTGCATATAGTTATCATTTTTGTGCTGAGAACATTTAACATCCACTCTCTCTACATTTTTTAAGAATGCAATATATAGTCATTAACCATAGTCACCATGCGGTATAATAGATCTCTTGAATTTATTCCTCCTAGATAACTGTGATTACATATCATTTGACCAACATGTTTTAGAAATGAAATCTTCATACCACAAGGGTAGATACTTATTTTCATTTGGGTGTGGGTACAGTGGGTTTTCTGGGAAGAATACTTAAAACTGTTCCCTACTTACAGTATTGAAATAAGGAGATCCAGGATCAAGTTTTATGTCCTTGACAATGAGAAAAATGTCAATAAAGAATTATGCTGTACTTGAAATATAAATTTATCTAATCAGCCTGTGTTTGAATAGCCAAGACCCTTTCAACATACAGGGATAGTATTATGGCAAATGGATCTCCAAATGTGAGTCTGAGTGGATTGGAAAGTGTTCTCAAAAATTTTCCATTCAGAGTCTACTTCCCAGCCACTAGTTATGCACATTTATAAGGATGACATATGAAAGTTGCCTTCCTTCTACCAGAGACCACTGATTAATGCCTTCACAGAGAACATCTGTGGTGGGATCAGAGCGCTTCTCCCCCACAGAACTGCCAAATCCACCTTTGCACTGTGTCCGATGTCCAGAAGGCTAATATTCCATAACTTAAAGATTTTTAAATTAAAGTTTTTCGTCCCCATTTATGCCTGAGGTAGCAATTTTTTGAATTTGAAAAATCAGATCTTGGTGATGACCTTGAGCAGTAGAATATAAATAACTCCCACATGCTTAGTGTTCCAATAATGGAACACTAGGCATAAGTGACTCAAACCTTTTACCCTTACACCTACAGAACTGCATACCAATTACTAGCCCCTCTTCACCTTTATATGCATGAAGTCTTTTTCCTTCTAAATTTGATTAAGTAGTACCATTGAGAAGAAGTTTATCTTTTAATCATTGTTTTAGTTCAGAATGTTGAAGTAAAGAAAATGAGAAAAGTTTTATTTATTTTTAATTTTCCAAACATAAAGGATAATTTAGCAAACTAAAAATATAGAATAAGTGCCCCACTATAAGAATTGGAATTTTTTCATCTGGTTATGGTATTTGTTATGAAATATTTTGTGCTCAAATATTTTATGTTATTATTTGTTGTGCAGGTAAATATGTACTTACTTTGCAATCTAACATATCCTGAAAATAGTGACAAAAAGTGACTTTTTAAAATGTAATGTTTTAAACAATAGAAATGTCTTCCTAAAATAATAAATTCCTAAGAATAAAATTAACTCAGAAATCAGTAACTGATTTGTCACATTTTGGACACTCAAATGTATTTGGCATTTAATTAATGAAAATGACACAATAAATGAACAAATTGAATATTAAAGTCACTTTCCACAAAATGTGTGGAGTTATAGAATTAGAAGTTATATTTATTTGTACTATAAAATCTAATCAATAGTGTTATAAATTAGTGACCATTCACCCATATTCAAATTTCAGAAGTCTGCCTTAATTAAATTATGCAATATGTTACTTCAATATGGATCCTAAGGTATTTGACATTTAGCAGAATTTTTGCTTTGACATTGTACTCTCTTCAAAAGCCTTTATTACTCAAAGTAAAAAACAATGGACATAAACAAAGAAAATTGAGAAAAATAGAGCGCTACTTTCAATAGCACAATTTATTGCCCTAGTTGAATTTTATGGTTTATTCCAGGGCTTCTCAACCTCATTACTACTGACATTTTGACCCCAATAAGTCTTTGTTGGGGGAGTCCATCCTGTGTATTTTTTTAATGTTTAACAGCATACCTGGCCTTTACTCATTAGATGCCAGTAGCCCCCCGCTTTCCCCCAAGTTGTGACAACCAAATATGTCTCTAGTCATTGCCAAATGTCACCTGGGGAACAAAACTGCCACTGGCTGAGAGCCACTGGTGTACTCTTTATGTACTTTAATCCTGTAGCAGAAGTTTCTGCAGGCTAAGGAATGCTTTTGAACTTTTTTTTTTTTTTTTTTTTTGCTAAATGTATAGTTCTTATATTCATTTATTTCTTAAAAAATAAAACCTAGCCGGGTGCGGTGGCTCACGCCTGTAATCCCAGCACTTTGGGAGGCGGAGGCAGGAGGATCACCTGAAGTAGAGACCAGCCTGGCTAACATGGTGAAACCCCGTCTCCAGTAAAAATACAAAAATTAGCCAGACGTGGTGCCGCGCGCCTGTAATCCCGGCTAGTCAGGAGGCTGAGGCACGAGAATCACTTGAACCTGAGAGGCAGAGATTGCAGTGAGCCGAGATCGTGCCACTGCACTCCAGCCTGGGCGAGAGTGAGACTCCGTCTCAAAATAAAATAAATAAAATGAAACCTTTCACTTATTTTATGTACAGCTCAATCTAAATCACGAGAAAATTTATATATGTTTGTTTCAAAATATGGTTGAATATATTTTGTGTATGGCATATTCTTCATTTCGTCTCTAGTTATCACAAAAAGACATATAATAATACAGCTAATGCCTAAGCTAAGGAGGAAAACTATAAAAATGAAGGAATTTCATTTAAATATATTGGTTTTATTAGGATCATTTTAAATGAACTAGACCATTTATAGATTCTCATGTTTTGCTGCAAAATTAAAAAATATATAACAATTTGCCATTAAAATAAAAATGTCTAATCTTTAACATTGGTCTTATGAATAGCATCTATAAACATTATGTGGAATGTGCTATAATTTTCTACTAACTCAATAGTATCTAAAATAACATTGTTAGTGATTTGTATCCTTGTCAAATGAAAAAAAATCTTTTTTAAAATGATGTGAATGAGCCATGAACTTTTACCGTGTAGCCATAAAGACTGTTAGAAAGTATTAAGTAAGATTAATTTTCTGAAGATTCCAGTTTCATAATTTAACTAAGCCATCAAGGTTAATCAACATTTTTTGAGATTCATGGAGGAAAATATGCCAATTTAGCATCTTCCTTTTTTTCTGGGATTGTGCAATATAGAACAGTATGATTTGACAGAAAAAAAAAATGAGCGGAAGCAGCAATATGAATTTTACATAGCATCATTAACTTTTTATATAGGAGGAGAAAATAGGAGGAGAAAAGGTTTTTAAAATAGGAGGAGAAAAGGTTTTTAAAATTGGAGGAGAAAAGGTTGTTTTAGGAGAAATATTGGTAATTTGAAATAAATGCAATAGTTTATAAAAATATTCATTTAATATGCCAAAATATATTAATGTAAGTACTTTTAAACTATTTTGCCATAATTGATCATATATACATATATGAATATTTATATATGTGGGTAGTATATGCATCTTTTATATATATTTAATTTTATTAGAGCTAAATATAGACTTACTTTTATATATATATATATATCAATGGATATAAATTGGCTTTTGTTTTCCCAAAATTTTATGGGAAAAAAGTAAAACATCATATTTTTTGTCACCCTCTTTTTTTTTCCTACATATTATTTTAAAACTATATTTCCCAACAAGGTTCTCAGAATCTTAAAGAGATTTACATTGAATATTTCTATTGGCTGTTTTTTCAATATTTAAACATCCTATCACAACTAACTTAGGCAAATAAATAACACCAATAGAAAGGGATGGGGTATCTCACAATTAAGGTATACTATGTGTGTTTCTAAAGTAACAACTTGCTAAGCATACATATGAAGAAAATTCTAGATGTATTATATTTACTTGCGTATTTCATCTGCCACTTTTTATGAACCTGGGCTTACCCTTACCAATGTTAAAGAAAAAAATGAACTTTTTGGGGAGTCATTTTCCTCTATAAATTTCTACTCTCCTTAATCATATCTGTGGGTGTCATATCAAACATCTGGCCTTTTGAACTTCTAAGAGTATAGCAAGACTAGAGGTCCAACATCAAGACAGGAGCTTTTGAACAAAAAAGCACATTTTTTCTCATTCCTTTTTATTGATGTTGTCTATTAGGGTGCTATTATGTATTGTCTCAAGTATTAAGAATTAGGATGAGAGTGGTGATTTGACCATGCAGGGAAGGGATCAAACACTGAATATTTTTTTTTTTGGAAGATGGAGTCTTGCTGTGTTGCCCAGGCTGGAGTGCAGTGGCATGATCTCACTTCACTGCAGCCCCCACCTTCCAGATTCAAGGGATTCTCCTGCCTCAGCCTCCTGAGCATCTGGGACTACAGGCACACAACACCATGCCCAGCTAATTTTTGTAGCTTTAGTAGAGATGGTGTTTCACTATTTTGGCCAGGCTGGCCTTGAACTCCTGACCTCAGGTGATCTGCCCATCTTGGCCTCTGAAAGCACTGGGATTACATGCATGAGCCACCACGCCCAGCCTAAATACTGAATCTTCATGGTCTTTTGCAAAATATAACAATACTTATTCACAGTGGTTATTCTGAAAGAACACAAATTATGTTATTTAAGATCAATTGTGAATTCATTGTAGTAGTATGTTTGAAGAATTGATATATTCATATTTATGTTAAGCATAATTATTTTCTTTAGAAATTTATATAAATTAGTTAAATTTCCAGTTCTATCAAGTTGTTAGAGGAGGAAAAGCATCTTCTGGTTTCATCGTCATTAGAAAGAGATTATCGTATTTTCCATTCATTTTGAAACAGGGCAAAGAGGAATATTTTATTTGAGTAGACACTCTGTTTGAAATTCTTTTTATTCAAAATATGGTAACTTTAAACCCACATTTTTAAATGGCAAAAAATCTATTTTCTAAAATGTGATGTTAAAAGTTAATATGCACTCTCAATTTTCAGATTTTTTAAAATTTTCTAATATAATAGAAGTCATTAATCCCAAAATTTTATAAATGTTAGGAGAATTATGTTGGGCCTTGGCTATCTAAATAAAAACTGAACTCTAGGAGATTATCTCTGTTATAAGAGATTTAGTTTTCTATATTACTAGTTGATATTACTTCAACTTAAAAATAATTTGTGACTGTTTTACCATAAGGGAGAGAGGTGCATTTCCATTAAACACAAGGAAAGGTTTAAAATTTATGACATGAATTACTGTTCAAATGTAGAAAAAAGCACATGCAATTTTTCATTATTTTAACGAATTTTTAAATTAATAATTGTATTTTATAAAAAATAAGAATGTTATCTCAACTGAGTTTTAACATATCTTTACATTTGTCTATTTAATGAGTTTTGCTTTTTAATTATAAAGAAAATGATCTTTGATTTTACTGCTCTGCTTTTGTTGTTGAAGCTTCTTTGCTTTATTACAGTACACGGAGTATGGGAGGAATGGTCACCATGGAGTTTATGTTCATTTACATGTGGTCGAGGCCAAAGAACAAGAACAAGGTCATGCACACCTCCTCAGTATGGAGGAAGGCCGTGTGAAGGACCTGAAACACATCATAAGCCTTGTAATATTGCTCTTTGCCCAGGTGAGCCTATTCTGCATTTGGTTATGTTTGCATTATGTGCTTTTTATATGATTCCTAGTGTACACAAGAAATATTAAGAGTACAACCTTCATTCAGTCACGTTGGGAAATGTGTCCTTTTCATTGTATCTTGCCTAAAACTGGGTACTTTTCTTGATTCTATCATATGTAGTATTGTAGAATATGTCCTTTAGTGTCAATCAACATTTACCTTTATTATATTTCTACAAATGTGTATATTAATATTTTTCACTAAGACTTTTATCTGCACTTGCTTTTTCCTTCTGGGAAAATTACAAGGAATCCTAAAGACTTGAGATTAATTATTGCCTTCACACTGGAACTAGGGAGATCTGATTTAGAGCCAGTTCTTCCTATGTTATTCTCTTACACTTATTCAATTAGGGAGTGGCAATGTACCACTGACCATGTGCTAGGGAATCAGACTTTCTAGATCTCTTGCTGGATGCATAAAATGGCTAAATTGTAAACAATTTACAATCTTTATGGGATTATGAAGTCTATACAGTCTGTTCTTAGAGTGTATTTATGTTATCTTAAATTTTTAATTTTAAATTTAAATTTTAAAATTTTTCTTTCCTTTAAAATGTTTCTATTCTATTTTATCTATCCTTGATAATTAATTTCACCCATTATGCTAGAGGGAAGCCTTCACAATGCTGTCATTTAGTTTATTCCAACATCAAACAAATTCCTCCAAAATAAATAAGAATAATGTCCAGCTTCAAAGGACTTACAAGTTATAGAAGAAAATACACACACATAGATGATATAATCTCTCAGGGTTAGCAAAGACACATTTTAAAGAAAGAGATAGACATGAATGGATAATTGCAAAGGCTAAGATGGCAAAGATCAGTATAAGTAATCGCTCTCTTCTTGGGGAGATTTTCTCATTAGCCCATTTAGTCACATATTCTGCATGCAAGCAACATAGCTGGGATCCCAGTACTGTTGTCCTCCAAACATATCCTGAAACTCACCCTCAGTCCCACTGACCGTTTAAATACCCCCAAGTTAATGTCCTGAACTATGAAGCAATGCTTCAAAGTCCTTCTGGAAGTTTTAAATATATAAAACGTGAAGAATATGAAAAACAATCCAATGTGTAGATATGCAAAAGTCATCTAACAAACTTAATTGTTCCCTTCAGAGAAGGACTACTAGGTTCCTGTACTTAATGACTAGAATTAAAGATGAAGGCAAATAATTATAATTACATTATTTTACTGACTAATATAAATATTTCCTAAAATTTTATTAATTCTGTGAATTATGAGTGTAACTTATGAGTTAATATTCATACAATTATGAATATTAGATGGTCAAAACCATGATTACTTATTTGTTAACCAGTACTAGAAAATCTATTTATGAGATCAGTAACATTCTGTCTTATTTCTCTCTCTATAAACACACAGGCAGGCAGACACACACATATGTAGTGATGCCTTGTGCTTTCAACAAAGATTTGGAAAAATTTATACTTTTTAAATTTTTTTCAATGCTGAGCTGTAACATTTACATAGAATCAAATATAGTTTACTCTTATTTGTCCATGAAGTGCAAAGAAATAGACAATATGGAGAAATAAAAGACAAGAACTAACTATAGAAACTTTTTAAATACTTTTTTGTTACTTCTTTTATGTCAGCTGGACTTCATAAATACAAACATAAAAATGGCATTGATTGGTTAAAATATTGTGAACCAAGTTTCTCATAGTCTACTTTCCATTAACTTTTCTAGGAGCAAAATCCTTAGATATCAGTAGAGAGGCTATGTTACAGTTCAGATGTGAAAACTTATTTTCTTAAGTTGATATGGTTGTGGAACTTTATCACTCAAGTAGTAACACAAGTTTTTAAGCTACTTGGATATTAGTGGTATTATCTTATCATTGGAAGCACTCTAAGTCCAATAAAATCAGATGGCTTTCTTTCATGTAGGTCCTTTGTTTTTGTGCATTATGACTATATTATTTGTAAATGTAGCCTAGCTCATAGTCTCTCATAAGTGAACATATGGGCATATCCTTGAGTACTTAAACGTATCATGTGCCATTTCTGACTTCCGTTGTTTTCATTCTTGAATTTAGTTGCATCATAAAAGATGTAGAATTCTTATCACATTGTATCCCTATGAACTTAGTATCTGAAAGTGAACTCTAATAACTAGGATTTTTTTAAGTTTCCAGGCTGTGCCAAAAAAATCGACGTTATGATTTTAAAATATGTAGGTTTATTTGGTGGAAACATTTGAAATTCTCTTTAGAACTCATCATCTTATAGCTGAACTCAGGCACCTTCACTGGGTATGAAAGCATCATCAACTATCAATGAGATGTAAGGCACTGCTGAGAAGTATATATAGTCCCTGATTTCAAAAGTTTTCCTTTCCATTCAGAAGATTCAGACATAAGCATATGCAAAGTTGAATGCACTTCTGAAAACCTCATATAAATACGCTAGCTTCAATGAAAGATGGTAACTTGAGGATTCAGTGGTTTCAGGCAACATTTTTTCTAACCATACTACATGATATCCCTAAGCTATCATATTAAAGAATAAAGCTATGATAGGTACATCAGCAGTGAAGAATGTAGATCAGGACCTGCACTAGAGTGTGGACAAGAGGAGGACAGAAGAAACATGTAAAACCACAAACTGTGTCTCCCACTACTCACTACTTTTGCAGGATTTGACGGGGTGGGCTGTGGTAATAATGGGCAGTGACATTTTTGTGTGGGATAATGTTAAAGCATTATAGTCGTAAAGCTTCCTGCTTTTAATAAACTGCATGAAACCACTCTAGCGAAATAGACACTATGTAGGAATGACATGCATTGTTTGTATCAAACAATGAAATACTTTTATGTATTCAGAGTTTGATATATACCTATAAGTAGATAATATGCTATCAGATTCCTTGCTGAGTCAATGCACAACTTCCTCCCACTTCTTTTGAGGTGAGAGAAAACCATTGCCTGGGATCCATATAAGGAGGAAGGAAAATGAAGGTATAGTATTTCCTAGTGTGAGTTGTTAGTTACTAATTTGCATCCCCTGTCTGAGAACAGGGGGCTGATACTAATGAAGCAAGACAGGCAAGAGGCATAGAGCAACAAAAGGAATTTCCTGGCTCATAAACATAACGTGGTCTATTCCTTCTTTTGTAATCTATACTAATAATTAAAATATTATGGAAAGGTGCATGTTTGTGTGTGTATGTGTGTGTTCAGTGGTCTTTGTGGTCTGTTTTACTTATCTCACCAAAGTTCTGGTGGTCCAAACTATGTTTTCTATTTTCTCTGAATTTTCATTGTAGTCATTAATTGATAATTGACTTCTTAATGGTCAATTCTCAATTAATAATTTACATATTTGAGGATAAATAAATTTTCTTTTATTTCCTGTTTCTCTCTCCATGCAACTCTATATATACCTGGTGGAAACAAGAAAAATTACTATTAAGTGGACTTTCTTGACATGAACATATCCAAATTTCTAATATCCCAAAATTTAAAGGACATTTTCTATGTCTGTTTCATAATACATTGATATGATGGAGGAAAGTGATCTTGGACTTTTGCAAGAGAACACATATTTAAATTTAGATTTTTACCTTTTAATATAATTGTGTCACTCATCTAATCTTCAGTTTATTCATCTGTAAAATGGGGACAATAGTAATACCCACTTCATAGGATGGGTATTACTATTGTAATGCTATTGTAATACTATTGTAATGGGGTGGACTTTGTGAGATGCTGTAAAGTAGAGAACCTGATAGGGAGCAAATACTGTGAAAGTATTAGAAGTAGTATGTTAACGCCCTTCAACCAAAGTTCATCAGAATCACACCTGTAGCTGACCTAGCTGAATTTGTTACTCTTGAGAGTGAGGGGAAACTAACATAGGGAACTGTGGGGATCTCAGCAATGGAGTGTTTGAATTACTTAAGGGATTTGAGCTTGTGTTAAGTGATTTGGCAGAGGGTTTAAGGAAGCGAGCGGCCTTTGTTCTGAACCGGATGCTGTTCGGAAGGTGTGACAATTCTATGGTTGGATAATAAACCTTAATAAATCATCTAGGTGAAGGGAAGACCAGCCATAATTGGTAAAGAAATAGCAGTCACTATATTAGCTGAGAAAGAAGAATATTTGGTACTTTGTGAGTTGCACTGTGACCTTGTTTTTGTCTTTTAAGTGTCATCGTATGCTACTGATGTTTTCTGATATGGTTTAGGTCTAACTAGAGATAACAGTTTTTCTGTGAGCATCAGGCAAGCTGCTAATTAGGTCTAGCTGTAAGTGTCTTTTTATGGTGATTCCCCCTCTACGGTGATTTGATCACTTTAGAACCCTCTGTCCTTAATGGTCTTGATTTTTATTAATATTTAACAGGAGAAAAGTGTCGCACATAATGGAAAGTTGCATTTTCCAGTATGACTGCCATTAAAATTATATAGATATATATACCCAAAATAAAATTTATATAACCATTTCCAAAATTAAACACTTCGGGGAACATAAAAAGCTTAAGATCTTAGTTAAAAGCCTGAAGTTTTATGCTAATTTTCTTTATAGCTTTTTACTTTATAGTAATATTTTCCCCTAGTCAGTAGTTGAATATTAGAGGAGCTAATGATTTAAGTTTAGTTCTTACTGTTTTCAGCGTGGACACTTCTCAATCTGATATGTTTCCATGCAGTAGAGTATAAATAATATAGGGGACAAGGATAAATAGTAATTGAGTGACAGATTAAAGACTAAAATAAATGAAAGTTCTATTGGTAAATAAGTCTTCATTTGTATACTGACATATATATATAAATGGATTTAATTATATGATTCAGTGGGAAAAAAAGTGGTGTGTTATTCAGAAGATATGGATTAAAGTTCAGTCACAATCCTTAATTAAAATATTTACTTGGGCAATTTATATACTCTATTTTCCAATTTCCTTTTTTATGAAATGGAGTCAGTATTAATTACCCCTCTATATTACAGGATTGACATATTATTATAATTAGGTAGAAATACTTTGAATAGTAAAAAATCGATGTAGAGGATTTTTTAATGATTTATATGAATATATTACTTTAAAATTAAGAGATTTTGGAAGAAATAGGTCAAATAAACTAGGAGTATTATGATAATTATTGAGCTCTACTGTCTTAGTCATAGACTCAAAGGGATTCTTCTCCCAGGTTTTTGCTAGGAAGAAATACCCTCATACAAGCTGTGTCAGTCTGTTGAGCTGAGCAGTGTCACACCCGTCAAGCTGCATTTGAGAAATGCTTTCCTGGGAGCCCAAACCCTGCCAGAGGGATGCTGCCATGTTGCAGATTCCAGATATATTTCCTACTCTTACAAACTCTAAGAAGAGAGAAAGAATCACCTAAGAGTAGGGCCTCATAAACAGGTAGACCCAAATATTTCTGTTATATAGAGCGAGAGGCTTCAGTCTGCTATGAACCTAAAATTTTGGTCTACAGCATCTATGGGAGGATGCCCTGCCCTCAGTCTCTCTGCAGGGTGCCCTTCTGGTGAAGACAGTGAATGGAAAGATTCTCAACATTTGCTGGAACTTGGTTCAAAGGTCCCTGATTGTGTTTGCATGAGGTTGTTATAATTTGTAACTCAAATACTGCCTCATTAACCTGTTCTTTAATTGATATGGATTTTATCTTCTTAGCCTTCTAGCCTGTTGTATGACAATTATATTTGTTTTATGTCATTTTAGATTTTGGGCATTATTCCAGTGCTTTTTCAGTTCTTAGCTTAAAAGATTTTTAAATTAATTGTGTCTTTATTAATTTTGGCTTGCTTTCTTTTACCATTTAATATTTTTTTCTCATTCAAACTTTAACTTATCAACTTTTTTATCCTTCTTAGCCTTACCATTATCATTTGTTTATATTTTAATTCTAATTTTTAAAAATGATGTTGCATTTTTATTTTCCTTCTATGTAGTTTAGTATAAAATGGCAAATGGAAGACAGATTTTTGCTTCTCAACATATGCCCAAAGCAAGAGGTTGTACTCTGTTTTTTTAGAGACAGGGTCTTGCTCTGTTACCCAGGCTGGAGTGCAGTGGCATGATTTTATCTCATTGTACCTGGGAATCCTGGGCTCAAGCATCCTCCCACCTCAGCCTCTTGAGTAGCTGAGACTACAGGTGCGCAATACCATACCCAACTAACTTTATTTTTTATTTTTGTAGCAACACGGTCCCACTGTATTTCCCAAGTTGATCTTAAACTTATACCTCCAACTGCAAGTGCTTCTGATGAGAAAGAAGAGAAATTGAAACAGCCTAAGAAAGTGTTGATTCTGACCTGGCTACATATGAGAGAAGAAATTATGTATTCTAGTTCATTGTTTATTAAATGGTGTTCTATGAATTAAAAAAGAAGTTAGGTATTACATTTCAATTAAATTTGAGAAGTAAATTTTTAAACAAAGGTTATTTATTGCAGTACTCGCTGCTTTGTGTCTAAAATGGCATTCCAAATTTAACCTCAAAAAGATAGAAATTTTGATTTAAGGGCTATAGACACCCAGATTGTTGAACACTAGTCTAACCCAGTTCAATAAAATGATCAACCCTTTACCTATTTGATTAAGCCAAAATCCTAAAAGTCAACCTTAATTTTCTATTTTTCTGCACCCTACCACAAACCTGCCAGCTCTACATCCAGAAAACATTGTAAATTCATCCATGTTTTTTCTATGCCCACTGATGCCACCATAATTCAAGCCACCATCAGCTCTCTCTGGACTACATACAGTATAGTCCTCCAATATTTCACAGTACGCATTCTTGCCCCTGTACCATCCGTTCTACACAAAACCACAATATTAGGTTTTAAAATGTAAATTCTATCTTATCACTTCTTTTCTTTAAAATCTTTTCATACTTTGCATCTTCCCTGGTCGCATGGCCTATAGGGCCCTATAAGATCTGGCTTCTGCACAGCATCTGAACCCATCTCTTTCCACCTCTCCTTTTCCAGGATCCCCACAAGCCCCAGTCTTCTCTCTGTTCCTGAACACAGATCTTCACATGCCAACAGATATTTTACATGTAAAAGATTTTTTATTGCCAAAAATGAGACATTGTTTAATTTTTAATTTTTCTTTTCAGTGTTATTCTGGATTTTAAAAAAAATATTAGTGAATTTATTTTACAGTCCTCAGCCCCATAACATTTCTGGAAACACTAATGTCATTTTATTGAATAAGAAAAAAGTGGAGGTCAGGGAGGCTTTGGGGAGGTGGAAATTAAGAGTTGGCTCTGTCCAGTGATTCAGACTCAGCTCTAATATCGTCGTCTCCTGAGACTGCCTGAGCACTCCCTATCACATCGCCCTCTTTATCACGTTGTCTTCATAACACCTCTAGTGAAACGCTCTGGTTTATTCATTTACTCGTTTATCATCTGCCCCCACTACAGCCCCCAGACTACATGTTCATAAGAGCAGAGCTCAGCCAGTCCTTATCACCACAGCTCCCCCGTGGCGCAGTTGAGCAATGCCAATCACAGACTAAATTTTCTATAAATCTTTACTCCTGTGTGTGTTACGAGACTCCAGGAGGGATTGTGGAGTGTTTACGTTTTCCCAGCTTACCAGGGAACTCTTTTCTGACAGAATGCTGAGATGTGAATCAGTTTTCAATAGAAAGACAGTTTCAGAAAGAAAGCTTTGAGGTATTTTTAAATTCGTAGGTTTGCAATGACCCTGAGAGGTCCCTCTTACAAATATTGGAAGTAAGCCATACACAAGGAGCAGGCATTGAGTGGGGAGAGACATTGATTGTCTCTACTACCTCGCTGCTGAGCCCGGTAAAAAGTCAAGCCTGCCTGCAGGGTTGAAGGAGAAGCAGCTTCCTCACCACTTTAGCTCCCCAGTTAAACATCAGATAACAAGAAAAAAGCTGTTCCTTCACATCTTGGAGAACCTAGATGAGTGTTTATAAAAAAAGAAATAGAGATATATAATATGATAAATTGTTTTTATTTTTACATTTCTCTACATTTATCCCTAAAAGATAATGCACAAATTCTATCTGGAAATGCTTAAATATCCAAAACAGAACTCTTAATTTCTACCCCCCCAAAGCCTCCCTGTTCTCTATTTTTTTCTCATTCAGTAAAATGACACTAGTGTTTCTAGAAGTGTTATGGGGCTGCGGCCCATAAAACAAATCCATTAATAATTTTTTTTAATCCAGAATATCACTGAAAAGAAAAACTTAAAAATAAAACAATGTCTCATATTTGACACTAAAAATTATATATATACATAAAATGTCTGTTGTCTGTATATATGTATGTGTGTGTATATATTACATGTGTGTTTATATATATATAGTCTGTTGTCTAGTTTTTTAAGTTAAATTTATATATTCATCTCCTACCTGACTTTTCAATTATCTATTTTCTCAATGATTTGGACTTGACACACTAAAGAAATATTAGGCCTTTCCTCTTTTGTTTTTCATATCCAATGAGTTATTTTGTCAAGCCAATTCCTTCATAATAGTGCAATTACACCAACATGGCACACATATACATATGTAACAAACCTGCACGTTGTGCACATGTACTCTAGAACTTAAAGTATAATAAAAAAAAATTAAAAAGCTTGCAAAAAAAAGTGCAATTAATTTTCAAAAAGGATCTTTTGGTTCTCAGTGTAAAATAAAATCGCAAAAAATGCCCACTTGATGTATCTTCAATTTCATTATTTTCTCTGTTACTGACTTTGTGAACAAAACTGACCCCATCTAAAATACATGTTTTGTTGATGTTTATGGTAGCGTTGAACCTCAAATTGCTCCTCAGATTTCTAATATTAACACTCTTAAGCTTTAACATTAACACAGAATATGTACATGGTTAGAAAGGATTGAACAACTATAACTACAAATATATGAATTTAAAGTCTCAAAACATTTTATTATTATTGATGCAGTCTTATTTCAGTAAAAGCCTGAGGAGCAAAACACTTCACAAATAGATGTTCTCATTCTTCCTAATATCATCTCAGCAAGGTCCTTCCTAATTCTTCATAGAAATACAGTCCCCTGCCAAATTATCTTCTCTCTGATTTCGACATTTGACTTGCACATTCTAGATGCCACACTTTGCTAGACACTCTTATTCTCTCTTTGCCAGAAAACATATAACTATTGCATTCATAATAAATCATACTCAAAATTTACCTTAAAGCAGAATACTTAAGGACATCACATAGTCCTTTATTCTAGTCACTCAGCACTAAGATTAGCTTAGCAGCACCTAATTCACCTTTGTTAATGTGCTGCTTTCTTTCTGAATGTTCTCAATAATGTGGATAACTGTACATCCTTTTGCCAAATAGATTGTAAGGTGTAGGGCATGAATCTCTTTTTATAAACCCTTCTCAGAATGCTTAGGATGGTGAGGCTTCATACTGCAAGCTCAATAAATGTTATCTTTGAATAGAAAAATTCTGAAATGAAAAATGCACTCATGTTTAAAGCCAAAATAGAGGGGAAATAGATAATTTATAATATCCTATTGCTTCACTAGAATTTTCTTTTTAGTCTGGAAAATAGACTACATAACCAATATGATTGTATCAGGCACTTGTAATAAAGTGAGATGCTAAAATTACATTAATGGAATGATTAAATTGGCATTTTGTGATTTTTAATCTCATAAAGGGTTTATTAAGTACAGCTGGATGCCTGTTAAACAATCTCTTTTTAATACCTACATGTAAGGCTTGAAGTTAGATTGAAAGTACTTATTATATTCTGCCAGGCTTTCTTGTTTATTTGGATGGATTTTCATAGCACCATTAGCTTATTTTGAAACTTTAGATTTGTGGTGAATTCTCTTTCACCTGTGATCAAATTGACTAAGAACAATGAACTGATCTTGGAAAAAAGTAGACATCCACAGACTGATGCATTTATAACCTTTACATGCTAGTTTGCACATTCTAATCTAGAAAGTATTTTTGGTTAAATCCTTTGTTTATTTCTATTTTGTGGCATATGGGATTGTGCCTTTGTCAATGCTGACTTTGTCTAAATTGTCCATAACTCACCACTCTGTGTCTATTATAATTACATCCCCAGTAGATGCAGTATGTCCTCTGAAAGCCTAAATACTTCATGTTTCATGTTAAGATGGTATTGTCTTTAAACATTTATTTATTTATTTATTCATTTGCATGCAGAATGTCCTAAATTATAAAATTTTTGAGGTTAGGATTTATATTCTTTTATTTCTGTGTATCTTGTTAACACCTATCACAGTGTCTGATGACTAATAGATTCTCAAAATTATTTGAATGAATTAATACATGAATCTCAATTTGAATCTCCCAAAGATAAATCAAGCTGAACAGTCTATATTACATTCCAGTCATCAGAAAACAGCCATCTAAGAGTCACCTGGATCCTCTCTTTGCATCAGCTCCCATGGCCAGTTCTTCAGTTTCTTCTTACCACCCGTTCCTAGTAACTTTCTAATCTCTCCAAGACACTGCATCTGCACTGCCTCATCATCACAGCTCAGATCCTTCCCAACTTCTGTAATTTGTTCTCAATCCTACACTAGATCTGATCATAGTATTATGGTATTATGTATTATTTAAATCGTTCAATGGCTTTTTTTTTTTTTTGAGACGGAGTCTTGCTCTGTCCCCCAGGCTGGAGTGCAGTGACACAATCTTGGCTCACTGCAAGCTCCACCTCCCGGGTTCACACCATTCTCCTGCCTCAGCCTCCCGGAGTAGCTAGGACTACAGGCGCCCGCCACCATACCCGGCTAATTTTTTTGTATTTTCAGTAGAGACGGGGTTTCACCGTGTTAGCCAGAATGGTCTCGATCTCCTGACCTTTTGATCCGCCTGCCTCAGCCTCCCAAAGTGCTGCGATTACAGGCGTGTTCAATGGCTTCTTAAACACCTGAGAATAATATCCAAAATCCTTAACACAGCTGATGAAAGTTTTTCATAATCTAGCCTCTCTCTTTTTTAAAACTTCTGCAATCTCTCCTCACTCAGCACTCTAGATGCCTTTCACAATGACCTTCATCCAGTTCCTGGAAATGCCCATGATTCTTCTTCCAAAGATCTTTGTATATTCCTCTGCATGGAACATACCTTTATCCTAAGTATGTTCTCTTTATCCTTCAAGGCTTGCCTGAAGCCTCGGTTTGTCAAGAAAGACTCTCTGGACCTTCCAAAGTCTTATCTCACAATGTCCTGAAACTATCCTTTGCAACACTGCCATGTAATTGATTTATCTAGCATGTAATTCATGGTTTATTTCTAGGGGTTCTTTCTCTAAAATATGAGCTCGATAAGGTCTTGCTCAGTATTTAGTTTGTTCACTATTTCATGTACCCCATCTCCTAGCACAATGTATTGCATCTTTGAGTGATCAATAAATATTTTTGAAGAAATAAGTGAATCAAAAGATATACTGGAGGCCAGGCATAGTGGCTCACGCCTGTAATCCCAGCACTTTGGGAGGCCAAGGCAGGTGGATCACCTAAGGTTAGGAGTTTGAGACCAGCCTGACCAACATGGTAAAACCCTGTCTCTACTAAAAATACAAAAATTATTTTGGGGTGTGGTGACAGGCACCTGTAATTCCAACTACTCAGGAGGCTGAGGCAAGAGAACTGCTTGAACCTGGGAGGCAGAGGTTGTAGTCAGCTGGGATCATGCCGTTACACTCCAGCCTGGACAACAGAGCAAGACTCCATCTCCAAATGAAAAAAAAAAAGATATGCTGGATATATAAAATAAAATAAAAGTGGGAAAATAAGGTAATAATATTTGGGGAGTTAATAAAATCTCATGCTGGTGTGACCTTCCATTGTATTCATTCATAGTCCATTGATTGGGGTTCATCTTCAAGGGTGGTTTTACCAGGTACTTTCTGTACAGCTTGTCCTATTGGAAGATATCCTCATGCTGTCTCTTTTTCTGCTTTGGTAGTTGATGGACAGTGGCAAGAGTGGAGTTCGTGGAGCCAGTGCTCAGTAACGTGCTCGAATGGGACTCAGCAGAGAAGCCGGCAGTGCACTGCAGCTGCCCATGGAGGCTCCGAATGCAGAGGGCCATGGGCAGAAAGCAGAGAGTGCTATAACCCTGAATGTACAGGTAGGGCTTGATTCCTGCATATCATGGGCACTCGTACCATGTAAAGGGCACATTATAAAATGTGTCAGAACTATGCCAGAGGGTCATGAAAGAAGATAATCATTATATATATATGTGTGTGTGTGTGTGTGTGTGTGTGTATACATGTATTTATTAATGAAGCCGATTATACCAGAATTTATTCTAATGTATGCCATGCTAATAAAGTAATAAAATTCAGGAGATGAACTACGAATACATTTGAGGAAGTTTAGCACTGAGCTTGCACTTTTTACACTTTTTTACACTGTTCTTCGCAATGCTCTATATTTGACCTGTAAGTTAAATATTTGAATAAGGTTTATTCACAGTAGTAGATTAACAAAAATGGAAGGGGTAGTAACATTCTCAGATTTTAAAATTTTTAAAGGAGTGTGTGGTAGATGACTGACATTGACCATGAAACATTTCTTTCAGCCAATGGTCAATGGAATCAGTGGGGTCATTGGAGTGGTTGTTCCAAGTCCTGTGATGGCGGCTGGGAAAGGCGAATAAGGACCTGTCAGGGTGCAGTGATAACAGGGCAGCAATGTGAAGGAACGGGCGAAGAAGTGAGAAGATGCAATGAGCAGCGATGCCCTGGTGAGAATGAACCCAAATTATCCCAAAAGAAACATTTCATAACGTGAAAAAAAAAAGATTTAAAAATATTGTCATTGGTTAAGGGTCATATTCCTCAACTAAAGAACTACTAATGATAGGTGGCAATTTACTTGTTTCTGTACTATGTGGGGCATCCCCTGTTTATGTGTCATAGAATCGTTCCATGTGAAATATTTGTTTGTGGAGATTACAAAACAAGTTGCCTTAGGATATATATACTGGAAATGTAAAGACATAAGAAATGAATGAGAAGATAAAGAAGTGTCGCTGACATTCAGATGCTTTTAAGTTCTGTTGCTAATTACTCTGACCTTGATGTGTGACCTTGATTATCTACATTTACTTGCGTTTGCCCCATTTTTCATTGGCAAAGGAAATTCCTATGAGGAATGCATTTTAAAATGAAAGTATAAAGTCTTAATTGCTAATGAAAAAATGAAAGTCCTGCTACATTAAAAGATTTTACATATAAGCAGAGAAAATAATGAAAGGTCAGAAACTGCCCAGATTATACAGCACATATTTTACAGGATCATTTAGAACAAAAACTCCTTCCTAATCATGTGTACCTTCCATTAAAATATTATTGACACACTGAGGACTCAATAAGTAAGTGAAAGTCAGGATTTTAGAATGAGATCCTAAGAAAAATATTATAAGTATACTAAAGATGTGATAGGACAGAATTTTAAAATTTGACAATATAGTGCCAACGTGCTGAACCTAGAGAATTTGAAGACCCACTTAGAATCCTGTTGCTGCTAGTAACTCTGTGAGCAAGCTGACTGATCTCTCTGGCTGTCTGATTCCTGGGGGTACAGTGAGTACAGCTGGTTGTGAGATCTTTGAGGTTCCTTTTCAGTTCAGAATGCTATGAATTTCTGCCTTTATCTCACATGATTGTTTCAACTTAGAAGAACCAAGGTATTCTAAGAGCTATCCAGGAGTCAAAGCTTTGTATTTTTCCAAAGTTAGTATTATAAAGACTTCTCACAGTACAACACTAAGAATAACAACAGAACTGGATTTTAAGAGTAACAATATGTCAGTTGGAGTTTTGTGGGGGCTTAAAAAAGATCGAAAATTAGGGCCAGGCATGTTGGCTCATACCTGTAATCCCAGCACTTTGGGAGGCTGAGGCAGATAAATCACCTGAGGTCAGGAGTTCGAGACCAGCCTGGCCAACGTGGCGAAACCCCGTCTCTACTAAAAATACAAAAATTAGCCGGCCGTGGTGGCATGCACCTGTAATCCCAGCTACGCAGGAGGCTGAGGAAGGAGAATAGCTTGAACCCAGGAGGTGGAGGTTGCAGTTAGCCGAGATTGCACCACTGCACTGCAGCCTGCGTGACAGAGCAAGACTCTGTCTCGAAAAAAAAAAATCTAAAATTACTTTTGTTAATTCTTAACACCATATGAATTCAATATGATAAAAAGTAACCAGCATGCAGGGTTGTTAAGAGGATGATACCTATTCAGATTACCACTGTGAAATTCTTCCAGTGCTGCGTAAGAAGAATTAAGATGTATTAAACAAAAACATTTATTTTGCCTAGGGAGAAATTTCACAGAATAGTAAGCATAATTAAATCAACCCCTTCAATATTTGATGTTATCTAAACCAGTCTGGGCATACCACAGTTCTTAACTGGTCTTTTAAAATTGTCTTTCATCTGCACATATAGAGCCAAGATAGTACTGCTGCAATCAAATTTACAGAGATTGCCACCTGCTGTTTGAAAAACATTTTACAGATCTATTTATGAAAAAGATAGTGTACCTTATTTGCCGGGCTTGTTTGCTGGCTTTCATGACTTAAGGCAGGTTAAAAAAATATCACATAAAACTAAAAAAAAAATTATATACACTACACATTTTTGTTATTATTAACATTTTCATTTTACTCTTTTCAATTATATGAGATGAAAATAACCATAAATTACTTACAAGCATATAGATACCGTTTTCATAATTAAAAAGAATTCTTGAATCAGCTAAATAATTTAAACATCACTACTTATACAGGGGCAAAGAAAAATAGTGTGTGTGTGTGTGTGTGTGTGTGTGTGTGTGTGTGTGTGTACATATACACCAAGCTTTTGAATATATCCTTGTCTGGTGCATTTATATAAACAAAAATTGCATTGTCCATCAGAAATTGTGTGTGACTGTTAATTTCAAAAATACCTCTGCTTTCTTAGAGAATTTTTTTAATTTACAAAAGGGGTTTTTCTTTCATATTAATTATTTAACTTTTTATGTGCAGTCACATCATCCCCAAATTATTTTATCAAGTTTTTGATAACTGTTTTCCATATTGTACTTGATTTATATACTGGAGTTCCAACTCTGTTCAATGTCCTCTCTGTAGTCAATGTGTATTACTGTTGTGATTATGAGTATAGCGTTCCTAATTTCAGCCATTATATTGCTTCAAATTTACACACTGACAATATAAATTGAGAAAACTTTCAAATTACCATAACATTTTTCTAAGGCATCTTTGTCTTTGTGTTAACAACAAAGCTTCAACAATTTTTTTAAACAATATGCTTTTTCTAGTATTATTTTTAGTCTATTCATTCTTAATTTTTCTTCAAGTTGCTGAAAACAACTACTGTTTATTTTATACTTCACTTAATTTGGAGTCAAAACAAATTAATCAAGTTTACTAAGAGGCCTTTTGTTGTCAGGAAGGAGAAATATATATGAACATCTTTGTTTGAATAATTAATGAAAATAATGATTAATCATCTGGATCTAATCTAAAGCTGTTATGATGTCTACTGAAAATGAAAAATAAAACTATTTTCCCCTCAAGATTAGGATATTTCTTTGCTGGTAGATAGATTAAATAAAAGTATTAAAAGTGTCATCATTGATGACAAAAAATGTATTTCTTTTGTTTTCATAAAAAATAATTGTAGAAATAAGAAAACATTTTTTAAAAATAATGCTAGTTGGGCTATAGAATAGCTACAGGGAAGATAATAAGTGGTCCAATTTTTAAATTGGTCAGACTCACCAGATAATGGTTTCATTTATCTCAATCTCATTGTGTATCCTCAGGCTTTGAAGGTTAAAATGGTAGGATGGTAATAGCTCCCCTAATTTTATTAATTGCTACAATGTCATACATAATATTTTTTAGGTTTTTAGTTTGATTTTCACCCCAATATTCCCCTGGTTAATAATATTCAGAAAGCAAGTGTTACTGCTGGACTGTCCTAAGTTTACATTCTAGCTTCGTAGGAACCACTTTGCCCTGCTCCCAGGAGAAGGGCTTGCTACTTCTATAACTCCAATTCTAGGATCATTACTCTTTAGTCATTAACTGCTAAGTTGGAACCTACCATTTACAAGTAAAAATTACACTTTATTTATACATAAAATTTCGTTCTTGGAACCACAGCTGCTTTGTCTGTAAGTGGTGGGTGAGGCCTCCAGGTTAAATGTGCTGATAAACACTTGTGAAGTAAGTCAGCCATATCATAAATGTATACAATATTAGCAACTTAGACCAGAAATGTAGGAATTATTGTGATGTTTATCTATAAATATTCATACTAAAGGAGGGCAGCCGTAGTGTTGGTAATGCAAAATTTGTCTTGAACACTGTAATACACTTGTATTAGGATTTGGTGCCCTATAATATAGCGAATGTGATCCCCATCCCCACCCTGCTTACGAAAAATGTGATTCTGGAAGTGACGGTTCCTTATTTGTATAAGGTTGCTCTCCAACAGGATTATGCCTCCTCTGGAGACCAGGAGAGTCTTCCTTTGGTCTCTAAGTAATTGTCTTTTAACTTAGCTTCAGTAGGAAAGAAGAACAAAGCTTGCCTACTTTGCACTCCTATCTTCTTTTGAGTGCCTCCCTCATTGTCCAAAGCAGTGCTTCCCAAACTTCAGTGTACATAGGAATCATCCAGAGAGCTTGTTAAAACACAGATTCCTGAGCCAGACCCCACCAGCCATTCTGACTCAGTAGGTCTTGAATGAGCCTGAGAATCTGCATTTTTATGAAGGTCTCAGGTGATGCTGAAGATGCTGGTCTGCAAATCATCCTTTCAGTTGCACTAACTTATAGTAAAAATAATAATGATAAGGTGATAAAATTAACAAAGAAGTGGAATACAGTCCTCTACCTCTGTTCCACTGGAGAAAGTTGAAATATCACCTCAACAAAATTGCAAAATTTTATTTTTTTCATCCTTTTTCATAAACGATGAGGGATTCTTTCTGGAATTGGTTGATAATGAAAACACAATTCATTTTGAATGCCTCTAGCCAACTCATGTTTCAGCCAAAATAAGATCTCTTTACAGCAGTCATTTAAAGAAAAATAGGACTATTAACTAGCTGTTGTGCACAAAGAAAGATGGTTTAGTCATTATCCAACTCTCAGTTCTCCAATCCTCATTTTTCCTCTACCACGAAGAGCAGGAGAAACAACTTGGGTATCATTTGAACAAGTCTGATGTAAAACCAGGCACTGCCAGGACACAGATCTGCAGTCCTGATGTTGTCAGCCCCAGCATCTCTCTTCCTGAGCAGTATATTTTCCCTGCCTCTTATCCCCCACAGGTATTAGCTAATTAGCTAATATATACACATACACTTATAAAATACTTGGTGTGGGGATGGTGTCATGGAGGAAGATGAGGTCTTAGCTCACTTTGACTTATTTTCTCCTCAGGTTCCAGTTAGTAGAATAGTGAACTAATCACTACTGATACAAATATTTTTGTCTTTGAGACAAATTTAACAAGTTAGATTCTTCTAAACTAAACTCTTGAACCACTCAATTTTAAGACTGAATGTAATCATTATTAGAAACCCAAATATGTCAGCATAAAATTTACATTTCTTTTCTAAAGAGAAAATACACTACTCCATAATGAAATATTTGCATACAAATTGACACCTGCTTTACCTTGTTCATTTCAAACCAAGTTTAATTAAGCACAAACAGTACTTTTTAAAGCTCCTATTTCATTGGAATTTATATTATTTAATTAAGCACAAATAGTACTTTTTAAAGCTCCTATTCCTTTGGAATTTATATTATTTTCTGCTTTCAGATATTATCTGTATACTCTTTAAGGAATTATGTTATTACCTGTTGCATTCTTCAAAAGGTTAAAGCAAGTTTTGACTGCATATTTTTGGGAATAGCAAATTAGGCCCTACTCAAGTGTCCATACCAGTTGTTAACCTAAAACCAGCCACTGAGTTTAATGGTGACAGTAGGTGGCACTAGGTATTGACTTCTTTAATATTAAATGTTCTATTTGTTCTTGCCAAGTCACTTCAGATAAATAGTAAAAAGCAGGAAAATGAATTAGAACTTGAAGATATCCCATAGATGAGAGAGACCACCTGTTGCTTTTAATAAATACCTAAAATAGTATCCAATCTTCTCAAAAAGGATGAGTTTTACCACCTATTTTAGTCTACAGTTCTGCAGCAAATCAAGCTGAGTTGTATGGGCAGACTTGGGGAAGAACCGCTGAGATCTAAAAGAATTAATAACAGATAGTACTACTGTGGCTACAGTATGTATACCAGATGCCCATTATTCAAACCTGTTGCTATGGAGATAATTATTGTCATAATTCATTTTATCAGATTTTCTTCAGATGAGACTTTGATCAGACTCTTACAGTTTCTGCCATGAATTGCTTAAAAAGCAATTTTCTGTAATCTTATATTACCCTACCTTGTTCAATTTAGAAATATTTAGCAACATGCTGATCATTCTCAAATTGAAAAGAAAAATTTAAGCACCACCTTTTACTATTTTTTTATTTATTCTTTTCATCCCTTATTGTTTTTCTGGGAAAAAATAAACTTTAGGAACTGTTTAACAATTATTTTAAATTAAGAGATTTAAAATTACTTTTAAACCTTTTTTGAGCTTAATGTTTACCAAGACACTAAATCTGAATATTGGTCTTTGATGTTTCTCATCAACACTTATTTTTCTCACCTTGTGTATCCTGACATATGAATGACCTAAGACTGCCCCAGCACTCTTCTCTTTTGTTGATCTCTCTCTCATCAACTATAGCCTCTGTGAGCAACACCCATGAATGTACCTTTATGTCTAATCACTCACAAAAACCTGATAAAGCTTTCCTACCTGGGACTCAATTCAGACTCTGGGTAACTGGGGGAAACTTTTCTTTGATCACCAGATCCTCTGTGTCATCTGGAGTGATTCCTCATTCTAGCAATCCCTGTTCCAGATGGAGTCCATCATGGTATTTCTCTCAGTGGCCCTGCTTTCACTTCCTCCTGCCACCAGCTTCCAGTAAGGGAGGAGCAGTGCAGCAGGAAGAGCCTGAACTATGGAGTCCAACAAAGTACCGACTTGGGCCTTGGTGTCCTCATTTATAAAATAGGGATAATAATATGTGCTGCAGAAGATTATTTCAAGGATGAAATGCTGGAGCTAATTAGGATCATCAAGTGGCAGTTCATGTACTCTGTTACCCATATTATGACAACACCTGCCTTCTCTAATCTCTTCCACACAGATTTATCTGATTATTCTCTCTTCTTTATAGCCTTGTTCTTATGACTTGCTTTCTCAAAAACTTCTGTGGCTTTTCATTACTGGCCAAATTTCATCCTACTGGGATCCTTGAGATTCTAATATTTCTATCAGCTTCAATAGCTTTCCAATGTTATCTCATCCTACTCATTTATGATATATATTTTAATATACATTTGTTCATATGTGATAGAATCAAGCAGATGCAGCCTCTGGTTTCTGAATACAGGGGTGCATATTCTCCCCTTATGGTGCTGTTTGCACTGTTATTCACTTGGGCTCCCCTAATGTCCCTGTCCCCTCTCTTATCCTCATCTGTTGATAGGGGAGAATTTGGGAGCCCATCCATTAAGAGATGTCTGCTCTCCTAATAATTCTTTCTCCCACAATCTCATAAGTGTTCTTTCTTCTTTGAACCCCTATAAATTTGTTTGATATTTCCTTATTATATAGTATTATTATTATATGATTATATCTGTTGAAATTCCAGCTTATTGCAGATGAACTATCTGTTCTCAGCCTTCTGAATCCCTGATTCTTCACTGAGCCTAGTTAAATATAATAGGTCAAGCCCTTTTGAATGTTTTTATTTCATATGATAAAAGCTATAACTAATGAAAACATTTATATAAAAGCATATGAATAAAAAGTTTGCAATGACTCTGATGTTAGTGTCTTACATTTCATGGCCTTTCAGTGTTTCAAAAGTCTGTTCAATGGACTGATTTACTGGAAGAACATTTCTATCACATATATGATTTTTTATATTGTAGTTATAAATTGTGGTATGATTCATCTTTCTTTGGAAATAAGTAATTGAGATATGGGAGGTAGGAAAAATATATGTTTCTATAGCGAGTTGTTCAGTTTCCCCAAATCTCAGCCCAGCTTATTATTTTAAGCCAGAGCTTCTCAAGGCAGTTCTACCCTGTCATGGGAGGATTTGTCCCAGCTGTGCCCAAATAGTGGTTCCTAAAGCCTCAGAGCAACTGACAAGGCAGGAGACTGTGGCTAGTGGTCTCCAGTCTTCAGTAGCCTTGCCTACTTCTCCCAGTGTGCCTCCAAATACTATCATTTCTACATATGCTATGACCTAGAGAAGGCTAAGACTCACTGTCGTCTTTGGCTGTTCCTAAGGTAATACAGAAACTTAGTAAACGTAACTTTCCAGCAAAATGTTGAGCATACCCCAGTATAAAATTCAGTATAACTAAAAGTTAGTAAATAGCTTTTTAGAGTTATTCCTCAAAGTTAGTTAGCTAATTTTTTAATTAACTTTGTTATCAGGTTGAAACTAGAGTGACCTTGTCTGCTAAGTTTAAATATAAAATTATGCAATAATAATACAGAATTTGCTTATGAGTAAGTATATATAACACTGTCCACCAGGTACTTAAACAATCTGCAATATATACCATTTGCTAATAAATTGAAAGTTCATGGTTTGCTAACTTCCAGACTTAAAAACAAATATTTGCAAAATGTATAAATAACTTGTTTACCACCATAACAATAAAAAGACTCCTCTGCTTAGAGAAGAGGTAAACTTCTCTGAGAATGGACTCAACTATTTGATTGACCATAGGTCCATCATCTCTTAGCTTAGTGGCCTCAGGCTAAACACTAAACACTTTCTGTCTTGACTTCCTCATGTTTAAAATGAGAATAACAATTCTGTTCACAAGGTTATAAGAATTCTGTGAATTAAAATATATAACACAGTAAGAACAATAACTCATAATGTTATGTAAATATTGCTGATATAATTGTATGTTGTTTCCATTTGAGACAGATTAAAACCATTTCCTATATGAGGAATGCTGTTATGAAACACACTTCATAAACACTCTTCTTTTTCCCACAGACCTTAGCAGCAGCATGAATTCTTCACATGAGTAGGTACCACCTTGGAAATTAGAGCTGTAAGTCATTGAGCACAGACACTGGATCCGTCTTATTTTCCTCTGCATCCTCCAGCACAGGGAATTCCCCAAACACAAGAATTCATGAATTGCCAACAAGCGAATTTTGAAATGTGGGTTCTTGAGTAGTACATGTTTTTTTTTTGTGTGTGTGTATATCAGCTCTATAGTTTAGAATCAATTTCTTTTTAATGCTGAAATTCTAGCATATGGGGTAAAAACTAATTTTCCACACAAAATTGATTTAAGCCCTGTATCATTTCTGCTCTTTTTAAGAGACAGAAAATCAGTTTGAATAGACAGATTAACAGCTAATCACTAGGTAATTGCTACCTTACTTTAAGGGGCATGCTAACTACATACTTGTGACTTCAAGTATAGTTGTATCTTACAAATGGATTTTTATATCTTTGCACTAGTAAGAGCAAACAGTGAGATCTTTGAGCTGATGAACAAAGTTACTATTCCTTTTAGCTAAGGCATACAAAGAGAGAATCCTTCCTATTGCTGCACAATCGTATGCTTTTATGTTCAGTCTAGAGAGCAGCCTCAGCTAGTTTATTTTCTAATTTACAAAACACACACAAGTGCCATTAAACAGAAAAAATAATTAAAACAAATCTCTATCTCTAGCTTGTTTTCTTCTGGAGCTTGGATTCCATCATATATATCAATTAACTTTTTTATAATACCTGTATGTGCCTAGATATGTCAAACTCAAAACTATTTTCGGCATCTCCTCTCCCAAGTCATCTCTTCCTCACATGTTGTAGTTCAGGGTCTCGCTAGCACATAAGATATCCTTCCTGGAAACCTGAGTTCTGTGTTTTATTTCTTTATCCTCCTCACCTCTTACATACAATCAGCCATAGTGCTGAGCCCATTCTACCTCCTAAATAAATTTTGAATTAATCTACATCCTATGATTCTTCATCCCTTCCCTAATTACATCATTTAGATTGTGGTAGGCCTCCCTGTCTTCAGCTCTCTTTCTTTCAACCCTTTCTCCAAACTGCAGGCATAGCAAGCATTTAAAACATTGTCATAAATTTCCCTTGCCCCTAATATAAAGTCAAGATCCTTGCTTACCTCATCATATATTACCCCTCCTCCTGCTGAATCACCCACCTCTACTTATCCCCAACTTTACACTTTACCCTTTCTGAAACGGTCACCTTCTTGGTTATTCCCAGTTCTCTTTGCTCCCTGGATTTTCCCACATGTGGTTCCCAGGACACACTCTCCCCTTCTTCATTGGTGGAAGTCCTGCTTCTCCTTTACACCTCAACCTGGACATCCCTCTGGAAATCTTCCACTGACACACTCTTCCCTAAGGTACTCCCAGAGCAGCCAGGGCTTCTCAGCTTAGAGTGGGCATCCTGTGTACTGTAATTCCTCAAATTATCATCTTTATGACCATTTTAGGAGTCAAGAGACATCGACTATTCTTACTTAGCCTTTTCTATGTGTAGTATTTAACAAGGTGACTGGGATATGCTGGGTGCCCAGTAAATATTTGTTGAATGAATGAATTCTATAAGTGGCACTGAGAAGTACCTAGAAAGATCCCACTACTGGGGAATTCATAAAGATGAGATGGCAGAAAATCAATTGTTATTTTAATGTCTAAAGCTATTTTGCTTTTGGTATAAGCATAAATCGACCTATTTTCTGAGATAGACTCTTCAAAGAATGCCAAGTCACCTTTGATAAAATAGTTAAAGCAGCTGTACCGTTTGACATTACTACTAAAAAGCTGAAAACCCTGGACCAGTTTGCACCTGTGAATCTATGATTTCCCCTGCCATCTTCCTTTTTAAAAATAATAATAATTTGTGTAGTGGATTTCTGTCTCCAAGAAGCACAATGAATCCAAGGCTTCATAAATTTACTGTGGAACAAAACAAAAAGTTGTTGACATCTCTAGGTTTAAAAAATTATTGACTTTTGCTTTTCATTTTGTTTGGCTGTTTGTAGGCAGACCAAACTGATAGTCATTAAGAAGATAAAATTCAGTAATAGAAAGATGTGGTTGGTCAAAGGAAAACAACTATTTAATCAGCTTCTTCCTGAACCAGAGTGAGGATGTGTGTAGGGCACATTGGGGGATTCTAAAAAATGGTCCTATAGGATCTTAGTAAGTCAGATATAGCCCTCCAAGGCCAAACTTAGTCATTACATGATACCCTGGAAACATCTTTTGACTAATTTTTAAGGTAACTGTAGTAGCTAACCTCCCTATCTTTCTGCTCCTAACTGGACACGGCTATCTACTGCTAGAGGATCCACCCCCCACCTCCACCCCCGCCCCACACACAACGTCTACAGTATTTTTGCAAAATCATCTTCATTCTCTGCGATCTTAAGAAATAGGGTAATTCAAAAACAGATCTAGCCAAAAGAGAAAAATAAATCAGCTAAAAACATGTATAGATGTTACAAGGTGACAGGAAAGTGCTTTGGAGAAAGATAAAGGAGAGGAAGGGGTGGGAGTGTTTGAGGGGCAGTCAGTGGGGTCTGAGAATGTGAGGTTTGAGAAAAGATTGAAGGCGGGAAAGACATGAGTCATGCAGACATGTTTGAGGGGGAGGAAGCGGGGGATAGTCAAAGCAGAAAGAACCTGCACACAAGCTCTGAGGTTGCAGTCGGCCTGTAGTACTGAAGAAGGGTGGAGAAGGCCTGTGCAGCTGGTGGGAAGCTGTGACAGTGGAGCAAGGAAGAGGAGAGGTAAGCTGTAACTGATGCTAGTTTAATCATTAAACATTGTACTTGCATGAAGAGAGGACGTTTTATTTTTCCCCAACTATTTGCCTTAAAAAAAAAATGAAGCATTGACTTATTTCACATATTTACTCTTACTCCCCACCTTGATTTTGAACCCATCAGATTCCGCAGCCGGCCCAGTAAACATTTCACCCTACTGGCTCACTAGTGCCATCTAGTGGCTAAGGTTTGCAATGACCACATTTTCTAACTACACATTTGACCGTGGGGGAGGGGCAGGGAGCAACGAAGTACCTTTTGCCAGAATAATACTAAGTGTGAAAAACTTTCTGATACCCCGACAGGGAAATGAAGAAGTTCATGATACAAATTGAATCTTCGTTTTCTTATGTCACGACTGAATCAGGAAATCTAGTATTCAACTATAGCAACAGGTTTTATTAAATGTGTTTCAAAGTTCACCAATGGAACTAAAGGAAATTTGAATTTCAAAGCATTGAAAACCAAAAAGATAGTACAAGTGAAGCAAAAGTGAAAGATTATAAATGAAGAGATAATGAGGGAGATAATAAACAGAAGTGGGATGTATGGATGGAGCAAAAAGAATAATCAAATATGACAGTCAGATTAGATTAACTATTGCCATGTCATTATTAAAAACGGACGAGTCGTTGTATCTAGAATTCAATTATGTAATAACCTATTCATGATGTATTTTTTGAACTTTAACATTTGTCCTAATTCTCCTTCTTTTAGTATTCTATAATAGTTTTTGGTTGGCATTTATAGAAACATGAATATCATTTATTACACTACTGTCCAACATAGTTGTTATTTCAATTTAAATGTACATTAACTAAAATCAAATAAAATCCAAAATTCACTTCTCAATTGCACTAGCCACATTTTCCTAGCACCTACCATACTGAACAGTGAAAATATAAAACATTTCTATCATTGAAAAAATTTTATTGGACAGTGCTGGTATGTTATTTCCCCAGTAAAAGTGATTTCTTTAATGAAAGTGTTTTGAACACATACTGTATACTAGATACCACTGTAGTTCATTACAACAGATTAAAAAGATAAAGTAAAACCTGGCTAGTCTAAAAAGCAACACTGGGGAATTGGGGAGGTTCACAGATATAACCAAGTATTTTCAATCTGTTGTGAGAAGGGCTATAATATTCATATATTCAATAACTGAGATATTAGGAAAGAGTTATTGGAGAATACATCATTTAAGCAGCATTTTAAGGATAAATAGGAATTTTACCCCTCAAAATAAGAATATCCATGGGTTTCACATCTGTGGATTGAACCAACCACAGATCAAAAATATTCAGGAAAATTAACTGTGTGGCTGCTGCATAGGAGAGTAAATATGAGCCGTGATGGGAATGGTAGGCTACAGCCCTTATGAGCAGGGCCTTTGGATCACACTAAGCACAGCTATCTTAGTTCTTTCTGTGTTATCCTGTCAGTACTGGAGAAGCATGGGAGGGTTTTAAGCAGAAAATTGTGGGATTAAACTTTATCTTAGAGATTACTCTTTTGATGTGGCATGAAAATTGGATTAAGGGGGCAGATGGAGGAGAACAGTACCACTTACTACCCAGCTCCTCAACTCAGAAAGCAAGCATCATCCTTGACCCCTTTGTCTTCCTAAATTCTCACATAGTTTTGTCTACCTCTTCAATTTACCTTGTATCCACCAATTTTTCTCATCTTTAGTCTAATCATCCTACCTAAAGCCATCAATGTTTCAGGGTTGAAGCACTGCACTGGTCTCCTCCACGGCATTGGCCATCTATTCTACCCACAGAAGGCAAACTATCTTAAAATTTAAAATTGAATCATTTCACTTTTTTAGAACCCTTCAATGGCTGCCCATGTGGCCCTATAGGCTCTAATCATGGCCTCTCTCACCAGACCATTACTCTATACTTGGTCTTACTCTTCTCCTTCCAGCCCTGCTGAACTCGATGCCCCAAGCTCTTCCTTGCTTCAAGGCCTTTGCACAAATTGTTTCCTCTGCCTGGAGCATTTATTGTACCGCACACTGCCAGTTTTAATTATATGTCACTTTCTCCAGGAAGCCTTCCTTGATTCTTCAGTTTTTAGGTTAAAATAGCACCCTGTACTTACTATTTGAAGTGCTCATCATAATTGTACTCAAGTAATTTTTTGTTTCACCTTGCCTCCTCCCTTTGACTAAAAGAATGTCTAGGCAGACTACTTTTCTTTTCTTCTTTCTTTTTTTTTTTTTAAATGGAATCTTGATCTGTCACCCAGGCTGGAGTGCAGTGACACGATCTTGGCTCACTGCAAACCCTGCCTCCCGGGTTCAAGCAATTCTTCTGCTTCAGCACCTGTAGCTGGGATCTTCCTCCTTCTGCTTCAGCACCTGTAGCAGGGACTACAGGTGCACGCCACCACACCCAGCTAATTGTTGTATTTTTAGTAGAGATGGGGTTTCATCAGGCTGGTCTTGAACTCCTGACCTCATGATCTGCCCGCCTTGGCCTCCCAAAGTGCTGGGATTACAGGCATGAGCCACTGTGCCTGTCCCAGACTGCATTTCTTATGCACCATTGGTTCTTCTAAAGCAGGGCCTAGCACCATGTTACATTAACAGGGCCTAGCTCTAGCACATATTAGGTAAAAATGTAGCCTAGCACATGTTAGTGCTAGCACAGGTCCTAGGACACAGGCCCAACACATGTGAGGTAAGTGCATGAAATAACCAATGAGGTTGTTCCCCTAATTTAACCAGGACAGAATGAATGCCTGGGTGAGTGGTGGAGGTAAAATCATGGAAGGTTAAGAGTAAGATAAGGATGACTAGAAGATGGATCCAATGGTTTTAGTTACGGGAACAAGATTGTAGTACCATTAGCAGAGTTAGGAATTTCAAGGAGAGGAAACAAGCAGCATTGTGGAGAATAATACTGGGAATTGAAGTGTGAGCAGCTTCACCTGAGATTTCTTTGGAATAGCCAAGTAAAAAATGCCACTCAGAAACTGGCTACGCCAGCCTAAACCCAAGAAAGATACCTGAACCAAAGAAACACATATAGTTGGCCGTCAGTATTCATGGGTTTCATCTCTGTGGATTGAACCAACCACAAATCAAATATTCAGAAAAAAATGACGTCTGTATTGAACATGTACAAAGTTTTTTCTAGTCATTATTTCCTAAACAATACAGTATAGCAACTATTTATATAGCATTTACATTGAGTTAAATATTATAAATAGTATATAGATGATGTCTTATGGTACAGTCATACCTTGGTTCCAGGACCCTGTGTCTACTAAAATCCTGTCTACTCAATGCCTGCAGACCACCCTGCAGAATCTGTGTGTTGGAAAAGTCTGCCCTTCTTAGATGCAGGTCTCACATCTTGCCAATATCGTATTTTCAATAAGTGTTTAGTTGAAAAAAATCCACATATAAGTGGACCCATGCAGCTCAAACCTGTGTTGTTCAAGGATTAACTGTGTACAGGAGGAAGAGCGTAGGTTTCAAATACTATACCATTTTATATCAGGGAGTTGAGCATCAGTGAATTTTGGTATCTGCAGGAGATCCTGGTACAAATCCCCCATAGATGACAGGGATGACTGTATGTGTTCCTAATACATAGTGGAAGTAGAAGGCATGTGTCCAGGCATGACTGCCATATAACAAGCGAAGTGTGGGATCAGAAACCAACTGATTACATACTTATTGAGGCTCCAACATTTACTAACTTTTCTTCTTTTCCACCGCTTCCCCTTCATTGGCATTAATCTGGGCACCACGAGTTTCATAGCAGTACCTTCCCTCACCACTGTCTGGTCTCTGGGCTTTGCCTTTTCTTCCTGACGCTGCTGCTGCTCTCCCTAGGAGACACTTCCAAGGACCTCTGTGGCCCGCTGGTGGGAGGCAGGATGGGGCAGCAGGGCCAGGAGCATGTGCTCTCCAAAGGGTGGGGCACAGATGCAACAGGCAGTGAAGTAGCTCTGGCTTACTAACCTTTGGGACCAGTGTGGGAATGTGTGGTTATTGGTGCTTCACTACTGGTGGCTGCTGTATCTCTTAGTTTATTTTCCTGTTGTTTCTATTCCCAAGATATTGAAGGAGTTAGCCCTACCTAGTGGCTGCCCCTACCCTCACTTGAGTTGTAGATTTTTTTGTGATTAGTTTTATTTTATTATTTTATATTTTTGATTTATGATAGGTCCTCTCCTACTCATCACCACCATTCCCAAGCCAAACTGTGACAAATCCAGTTCTTGTGTCCTGGGAAAGGGCCTTGCCAACCTCAGCACAGCTCTCCTGCCCCATTTAACAGCCCAGGTGCTTTGATGGAGCCAGGAGGGCATGGCCAGGCTCCCGAATGGGGAGGGTTTGGAGCACCTGGCAAAATGACTCCTCCCCATCCAACCTCCCCCTCCTGCACTCAGTTTCTCCTCTGGATTCAATATGTAATAAAGTTTGGAATTTGAAGAAGAAAAGTAGTTCATTTGCTTCTCTGTGCTTCTGTTTTCCCATGTGATAAATAAGGATCATAGTCACCTCTAACTCATAGGTGCTAACTCGTAGGTGGTTGGGAGAGAGCAAATGTGTCCATGCATGTAAAACTCTCCAAAAGGGCTTAATAAATACTAATATGATTATATTACTATTATTAATATGCTTGAAATTATCCAAGAAAAACACCTAACGTAAGGAAGAAGTAAGGTATGAATGATTCTGAGAAGGACACAAAGAATGAGACAAAGAAAGAATGCTCTGAGGGGTTGGTGGAGGAGTGTTGGAGAATGGCTTAAGATGCTGAAGAAAGTATTTCCAAGAAGGTGAGAAAAGTCAAAATATAGTGGTACAGACAAGGCCCAGACTGTGTGAGACTAAGATGAGGTTTGTTGGTAGATCATTGGTAAGGTTAGGAGGAGACAGCTTATGAAAGTGGGGCTGGTGAAGGTTGAATTAACTGCTAAACCCTCCACCAAGCAAAGAGGACACAAATTGAAAACATTGCCTATGTGTTTTAATGGGAACATGGAATAAATAAATGAATATATATTTACATATACTCAGAGGGAGAGGACTATCTTAAACAATTCAAGGTCATGAAGAGTATATGTGGGAAAAGAAAAGGAAGATGACTGAGGAGTGTGGATTCTAGGATCCAGTCCTGCTGACACCTCCACCAGCTCTGTCTCCTTAGACAAGCTTCCTCTTTTTGGGCCTTGGTGCCTTCATCTGTAAAGAGGAAGGAGTTGGAATAGTTGATCTTCAGTGACACTGTCAGCTTTGTAATACCCATGTGTTCAAACCATTCATCTTATCTTGGGTAATTATTTTTTAAATATTATTTCAAGATTTAATTTGTCAACTTGTATTCTTCCCCTACTGATAACTATAAGGTAATTTAATGAGTTCGTAAATTCTGAAATGGAATTGGTATCAGTAGAATGATGATTATCATGGATTAAATATTATATTATTCTGCAAGGAAGATGTTTCTCCCAAGAAATCACACTCCTGTGTTTATTTAGGTACTTAGTATTTTAAGATCCTCACTTATTTATCAAGGTATTTATAAAACATATATTCATTTATTTATTTATTCAATTTTGAGCAACTTCATGTGGCAAACACACCATTAGGTACAAGTGATACAGAGGTGAGTAGACCCAAACAAGATCCCTAGCAAATAGTGAAGACTGATATATGAACATGTAAATGACAATTTTGTATGAAAAGCACAACAGTGTGTGTGTCTAGAGAAGGGACTAATATTCTTTCACATGGGAGCAAGATGTCACTTTTAACACAATATAGATAGACCTCATTCTTTCACTACTATTTTGCATTTCATTATATTACAGTTAAACATCTGTTATTTTTGAAGTTATTTTTAATTTTCTTGCTCAATAATTAAATTGAAATTTTGAATATAATATGACAAAAAGATCAAATTGGTATATTTTTA